>NC_000006.12:2029696-2181212 GCF_000001405.40 Homo sapiens
CAACCCCATGCTGGATCACATAAGTCTTACTAAGTGTATGCTTGGATTCCATGTGTCACCCCAAAAGAAAAGCTTATCTTTAACAAATTTATTTAAAATTTTGACATCAAAATATTCCAAAGAAATATTTTGAAGAAGGTACTTTAATTTAAATATAAATTTAAATTTTGTGTCATTTTGAATTATATATTGGGGTGTACAGGAGCAGCATGTAATACTATCTTCTGTGCTGGGGGCCTCCTAAGGATTTTACTCGGTCCTAGTCAAACCTCTACAATAAAAACAGATAGCATGCATTACATCCAACTCGTGAACTGCCTTTCTCCCAGTGATATGAAGACAGTCCAGAGAAGGGGGCAGGTTGGAGGAGGAGGGAAGCGGGTGCCCACACAGAGATCAACACACAGCCCATGTGGTTCCCACAGCATGCTCTGCACAACCAGACAGATCCATCACTGCTGGTTACTGTCCATCTCCTCCACAAGAGTCTGTGGGTTTGGTCTTTGCAAGATCATTTCGAAATTAAAAGTGGACAAAGATAATATATGCCCACATCTTCTTAAAGTATGTGTGGGGGTGGTGCATGGGAACACCTGTGTCAAATTTGTGATGCTGGAGAGCCAAGAAAAAGATAAGGGAGGCAAATCTGAATCTGGTGGTTGTAAAGCACCTGGAGGAAATTTTGCTGTTCTTTCTCCAGCATCTGCGAATTTGTAGGACGAGGTTAAGAGGGAGCACACAACTTCCAATGTTGTCCCAACTTCTATTTTACATGGACCTTGCTCCCTACATAAAATGCATATAAAACCCTTTCTTATTTAAATTTCCCAAGGATTTGCAGCAGTTTGTACAACACATTTGGCCACAGTAAGTCTCAGGGCTCTAAATGACCTCTGGGGATGAATGACATGTGCACACAGAAGAATTTATAAGACTCACTCTATAACAGTTCCTTTGGAACTATTACTTTCTGAGGGTGAAGGTAACAGATTTTTTTTAAGTAGTACAGTTGACAAACTATGCATTGGCTCCAAACAAGGCCGTGTGCGCTAGATAAACATAGTAAAACTGTTATAAAGTGGTTCGCTAAATTGTAGCTATACTGTAGCTCAAAATGTATTGCTTGGGACATAGTGATATATAGCATATGTTTCACTAAAATGTGAAAAAGCCTAGAACACAAGTATTATCTTTGTGACTCAACACCAATACAATAACAAGGATTTTCTCCAATTCCTTTTATAAACAAAATAAATTATTACTGTATCAACTCTCTCACACGTAAAGATGATCACATTACTCTCTACACCAGGGTCACAAATTCAAATGCAAGCATGTAGTATAAATACATAAAGCAGGCCAGGTGCAGCTACGGTAAACTCAAACAATGGTTCTCACACTTTAATGTGCATACAGAAATCGCCCTGTTAACACGCACATCCTGATGCAGTAGTTCTGGGGTGGAGCCATGGATTTTGAATTTCAAACAAGCTCCTCAGAAAAGCAAAGAACTAGAGAGCTCTTTTCCCTTTCAGCTGTTTTGCCCAGGCTGAGGCCTCCACACAGGAGTGCCACTGGGCTTGGTGCTGGTGATTTCTCAAAAGCTGGAAATTCACTCATTCAATCAGTTTCCCAACCTCTTCTGTGTTCTAGGTATCCTAGATACTAAAGATGTAGCAGTGAACCAAACAACTACAAATGGATGCCCTCACAGAGTTACCTGGATAACAGGAGAGGAGAGACACCCAACAAGATAAATAAGTAAAATGTATAGACCAGTGTAAGTGCTTAGAGAAAAAAAAAAAAATCAAGTTGAAAAGGGTGTGTGTGTCAGGGTGGGGATGGGGATACAATCTGAGATAGGGTGACCAGAGATGGTCTCACTGAAAATGTGATATTTGAGTCCCTGGAAGAAAGTGAAGAAGAAAGCTATGAGGACATCTGGGGAAAGAAACAGAAGCAAAAACAGAAGTAAAAAACAGAGGTAGGAAATCTGGGCTCAGGGCATTCCTGGTGTGTGAAACTGAACTGCCCCAGAGGCCAGGCAGCTGAGGAGCAGAGTGACTGTGGGCAAGCCTGGCGGGTACCTTAAAGCCTAAATGTTTCCTGTACTTTCTTCTGATTTCTAAATGCTAACAACTAAGTTGTAACTTTAGAAAATATTTTAGGCCCATGGTCACCACTTTCTGGCCTCTATAGTTTTAAAAGTTTGAAAATACAATTAACATTTTAGTGAAATGCCTTATGAAAACATTAGCCATTTTTATTACTGCCTAATTTCTCCTAAGTCTTAAACTATATTAAAAATTTATAATTGTATAATCAGAACTTATTATTGAAAATGGGCACACACAAAGATCCATAAAGAACAAGTGTAGAAGTTAGAACCTCTCAATGACCAAAGGGTGGAATAAAATCCCAGCAAAAGATAGTATCCAGTTGCCCATCAACAGTTGCTAGTTCATCATCGGGAAGACATATACTGTGAACTGTTTTTCTGGTGCTGGTGATAGGTTTGAACTGGAGACATACAGCTATTCCTCAGTCTCTCTGTAATCAATGTCAAGCATTTGAAAGGAAAGTAGCCCAGGTCAAGGATGCCTTAAGAGACAATAAATCAAATTTGTCTTTTATCTTCTTCTTATGGAATCCTATACAGCTGGAAATCTCAGGGCCAAATCTGCAAGCCTTCTCAGGAAATCTACAGAATTTCATGGATATAATTTGTATGTGTACTAATCTCATTTTTGGTACCACAATATTAAATTTATTTTCTCTTGGCATATTGTATGTATTTGCACAATC
The DNA here is from genome assembly GCF_000001405.40 of Homo sapiens. Taxonomy (NCBI): domain Eukaryota; kingdom Metazoa; phylum Chordata; class Mammalia; order Primates; family Hominidae; genus Homo; species Homo sapiens. Next base: position 2,032,502 of record NC_000006.12, read on the forward strand.
CTTAAGTCTCCTTAAATCCCTTTCAAAATGAGATCTGGAATCCATTCATTTATTAAATATTTACTGATGCCTACTACACAACAAGTATTGTTTTAGGTTCTTGGGTATATATCAGAAAACAAAACAAAGATGTCGGCCCTTAGAAAGCTTATGAAAATATAGAGAGAGGCATAAAACAAAAAGGTAATTTGCTTACAAGGAGTCTGATTTAACCAGTAACCTAACTGGTAGCAGTAGTATCTCCATTCATCATTATAAAACTGCTAATTCACAGGTAGCTAAAACGTCTTCCAGAAAGTCACCATATAAAACAGAGGTAGCATTTGGAATACAACCTGTGGTGATAGATACAATACAGTTCCTCTTACTGATTTGCCATGTAACTTACTAATTCCTCTAAGGAGAGGATGCAAAGAAAACTTCTAACACCAATCTGGAACTTCTCAAATTTCATTTTTAAAAATTCTAAATTGAAAGCATAAAATGCAAATAAACATGTAACATGTAGTTAAATTATCTTTTCAAAGGAAAAAGTATGTTAAATCATGCAAACAGTTGAATGAATTATCATGAAGGAAAATGAAGTCTTTGCAATTCAAGTAGTTTCCAATCCCAGATTATTTTAAATTGATACTTCCTTCATTTATAGTTTGAGCCAAACCATATGACCAATGAAATAATAATTGCATAATCACTGAATCAATAATGCAATGATTCATTAACCAATGCATAATAATTGCTGAAAGACACCACAAACCCAATCATGTGGTTAGGAGTAAAGAAGGCAGCAAGAAGTTTCCAAAGTATCATGTTATACTGCTCTTAAATTAAAAAGCTAGAGCAATATTTCCCTTAAACATCTATCATATTAATTGATTGGGAGGGTTCTCAATTATTTTTGACCAAGGGCCTAAGGAAATCTTTCCAGACTTTCTGAAAAAGTTGTATACTGAAACTGGTCAGGCATAGGACAAATCCTTCACTTTATCACTGAACCAAATAGTCTTCTGTCTTCTTAAACCTTTTGTAAGTAACTTCCTAAGGAAAAAATTAACAATGTTTGATTTATAAGAATAAATTTATTTCTTAAAAGAATGCTTTCAGAATATAAGAAGGCTTCTGGAAATTAGTTACTTAAGGATTAAACTATCAGGTGTTCACCGCCATTGCTTTTATTGCCCCTTTTGCCCTGTGATGAGCTTAGATCCTAACAGTACAGATGAGTCGTTCCTAAACTAAGTTGCACAAAGAATCACTGGAGGTACTTTCTAAAATGCAGATTCTTGGGTTTAACCTCCAGAGAACATGTTTCAGTAGCTCTAAGATGGAGGTGTTGAAACTGTACTTTTCACAATTGCCAAAATGTTTCTAATATGGCCTATTTGTAAATATTCTGGAATCAGATCCGAAGGAGACTGTGTACCAGTCCGGAGGCATATAAAAGAACCCATGGGGATACTGAAAAAAATATTAAAACTTTCATAGTCATTGTTATGTCATCCATTTCAATTTTTTAGTCACATGATTTCTAACACACAGAATATACTGGTACAGGATTAAAGGTATTTAATGATAAATAGATATATGTATATGCATATATGTGTGTGTATATAAGGGACACGTACAAAAATATTAAATATGTGCACTTATCTTCTATAACAGGGGTCAGTAAACTTCTTTAGTTTACGGACAGACAGTAACTATTTTAAACTTTCCAGGCCACATATCATCTCTGTTGTATAATCATCTTTGCTGTTTTTCTTTTACAAACATTTAAAAATGTAACAACTCCTATTAAAAAAAGATTACATACTGTATTATTCCATTTACATGAAACGTCTAGAATGAGCAAATCTACAGAGACAAAGTACATTTGTGGTTGCCAGGGGCTGGGGCGGTAGGAGAGAAAAGGAATGTTGGTGCCAATGGGTATGAGCTTTCTGTTCGGGGTGATGACAATGCTCTAAAATTCACTGTGATGATAGTTACGCAACTCTAGGAATAAACTAAAAACTACTGAATGTTGTACTTTAAATAGTTGAATTTATGGTATGTGGATTTTAATGTCAACAACGCTGTTATTAAAAAACGTAACATTCCTTTTTACCTCTGGGTTGCAACTGGCTCACAGGCCAACAGTGATCTAGAACAACAGTTCTCAAAGTACGGTCTGGAAGTCCAGAGAGTGTCCAAGACACTTCTGGGGTGTCTGCGAAGCCAAAACTATTATCAAAAAATACAAACACATCATTTGCCTTTTTTGTTCTTATATTCTCACACGTATACAGTGAAGTTGTCCAGAGCTTACCTGATACGTATTAAAACACACCAAATGCAGAAGCAGATAGGAGAAGCCAGCCAATCCGTTTCTGGCCTGGAAGGTAGGCATCATTCCCAAGGTCAAGCAACCACTTTTGAGACCATGAGGAAGAAACCCAGCCTGAGGATGGTTGGGGGGAAAAAGAAGAAGCTGCCACCCCTGCTAGCCCTATGGAACTGCTACACCATCTCTAGTCTACCTTCTCTAGCCTTCTTACCACATAAGAAAAAATGATTTAAGCTGTTTTCAGGCCTCTAACTTATAGCTGAATAAAATTCTTCACACACACAACATCACATTGCTCCACAATTCATAAACAGAACCCTCCCCCTGAACACTGTCTCCTCTCAGATGGCCTCAAGCCAGGCTACACCATGTGGAGGGAAGGCTTCATTATGAAAGGTGTTAATCATTAACAAAGATGTCAAATTAACTGTTCTCCCCTCATGTGCCAAGTTTTCTCTCCTCGGTATGTTGAATGCTGTGCCTGACCTGCCTAGATGCCCTTCTCTCCATTTCCCAGAGCTCAAAGCTTATCCATTCTTCAAGGCCAACCCAACTCATGAGTCAGCTCCTCATGATATCAGGATATGTCTTCCCTGATTTTCCAAGGATTCACCACTATACATCTCCCACATCTTGTGTCTCAAATGGCACTTACTTTCTATTTGGCATTTGACCTATTTCTCTGTCTTATCATTCATTTCTGTATCCCCCATCATACATACCAAGAGACTTCTCTCCTAAATAAAAGCTCAAATTTGTGTCAATTATATCAATATTATTACCTATGGTCAAGTTATTTAGGAAGCAGAAAATAACACAGAACAACAGAGTAAAAGAGTAACTTATTTATTTATATTTATTTATTTATTTATTTTTTGAGATGGAGTCTCGCTCTGTCACCCAGGCTGGAGTGCAATGGTGCAATCTTAATTCACTGCAACCTCTACCTCCCAAGTTCAAGTGATTCTCCCACCTCAGCCTCCTGAGCAGCTAGGATTACAGGTGTGCACCACCATGCCCGGCTAATTTTTATATTTTTAGTAAAAACGGGGTTTCACCATGTTGGCCAGGCTGGTCTTGAACTACTGACCTCAAGTGATCCAACCACCTTGGCCTCCTAAAGTGCTGGGATTACAGGTATGAGCCACCGCGCCCAGCCAAAAGAGTACTTTAAAATCCTCTCCACAAGTAATCTCATGTCGCAGGGCAGCCTGGCCTGGGCGACTGTCTCAGCCGTCATTTATTGCACCTCTAAGAATTAGATGACAGTGTTCTCCTTTCACCTAACTTTAATTTAATGTAAGAATTTGTGTGCCTAATGAAAATCAACTCAACCCTGAACTCCCTTTTCAAGTCAATGAAGGAAATCGGGAGACTTAATTAAATGGTGAAATAAAGCCCTTTTAAGGAGGATTTATGACCCTTCTGTGTAAAGTATTTAAGATAACAAGGTGTTGATAAATTAGGTCTTGGCTGGATAAAGATCTAAACACATCAGTATAACAGATTATGAAGTTGTCTTTCATAAACGCAGATCTCGGGAATAAACTGAGTTATTGATTCATTAATAGGTTTGCTAACTGGAAAAAAAAAATCACTGATTTTCAGAGCCTTACTGCTTGTTGGCACCTAGTAATCAATGCTTCTTCCCAGGAAGGTCTGTCCCAGGGATCACTTAGTACATCAACTGTTCTAGGCTTTAGCAATCCATACAAGGCATATAGAAATTCCTGGCGTTACCCATTATCATACTTGTGTGTCCCAAATAAATGGGGCTCCAGGCAAAATGCCAAGACAGTGTTAAACAGTAAGACCATATATGCTGATTAATGATAATTCTCTTCCTATAAATGTCAGAAAGTAAATATAGGATATACTGAGAATAAGCAGTTATCCTCACGAAGCATATTCTATGGGAAAAGTAAACCATAAACAAGATAAAACAAGCTGCACGGAAAGACTTCAGAGCCTATGGCATGCTGATATGTACTGTGAAATCTGCATGGTAAGCAGTATTCTCCAAATTAACGTGGCGTAGCTCACCTTATGCTATCCTGAACCATAAAACACACTTTCGTAAGTAAGGTTTTAAATAAGTGCTCAGTAGATACATCCTAATTTCTATTCCTGTTGTACCTGGAGTTATCTTTTGGAGGCGAAAGGTAATGAGGTAGGAACAGCCTGAACTTGTGAGATAAAAGGAGGGAGCCCTTGGTAGCATCATGATTATAAATGACATTTCTCTAATAAAGGTAACTGCACTTAGGGAGCTGAAGAAATGGTTCAGTCAGGCAAACTGTCTGGGTATCAACACTTCATACACTTGGAGCTCTCCCGTGAACTGACAATGCCCCTTCAACTTCACCCTCAATGAGAACTGCTTCTTGTACAAGTAAAAGAAGGTGGGAAACAGATAAAAATCTTAGTGGAGAGTTACAAATGGTCCAAAAAGGAGGTAAACTAGATTAAGTTCTCACACTGTAGAATCAGTCAAAAAACTACACGACGTTGTTGTAACCAGAGCCTCCAAATAAACCATTCCCACTGAAGTACGCTGGTTCACACTGCAGTTCCCTCACTAGTCAGCTGTGCATGGGGGTCCTGCTCATTCTGGACTCCCAGGACAGAGAAGCAGCATCTGACACATGTCCCTCACAATGGGGGAGGGAGTAGCAGGAAAGAAAACTCTGGTTTGGTAAGTCTGAGTTCAAACAGACGAGAAGTACAATCCTATCTTGTGCCCAGAACAAGAAACCAAACATCGGTGATGGCATCAATGTCTACGTCATAGTTCACCTCAAATTATGTCTTTGGGAGGGGAAAATTCTACAAATTATGCTGTAACATAACAAAGCGCCTGGATGCTGTGAATAGAAAGAAGTGGTTGCTTGGGATTTGGTTCTGCTGCTCTCTAGTGTTTACAACCGCTCAAGCCGCACTTTCCTTAGCACTAAGGTCTCAAAGGTGTTGGCAACCTGCACATGGTTTCTAAAGGAGCCTGAAAGGAAGACATAAAGACAAGGAGCAAATGAAGACAAGAGAGCAGGGGAAAGAGAAAAGCGGTAAAAATAAATAAATAAATAGATAAATAAGTACTGTAAGTAGTACTAGTATAATGGTTGTTTCCAAAGATAAACATTTTAACTATTCCCTGCCACAATATCTCCAGTTTACCTGCCTTGGTACACCATACTTTTAAAGTTAACCTTGAACCTTGAAATAAAGAGGGTTGGGGGGGAGGTGGTGGTGAAAAAACTAGCTCACCAAAGCGCCCTTATAAATTAAAGCCTGAAGTTGGGCTCGGTCCCTTTTCATTGAAGATCGCCCCCCTTTGCCATCCCCACCTCCTGACACAAAGCTGGTTTTGTCCCAGCCTTGCATCAGCTGCACAGTACAGGGTGTACATGCTGAAAAGCAGCTGTTTGCTGACAGACTGCGAACTGGGACAGCTAGCTAGAGCTAAGTGAAGTGGTTAACCCACATCCCTTCCCCACTGATAAAGTGCTTTGATAAGCAAACTATACTGGTAAAAGCTGGAAAGACTGCCAGAAAAGCCGCGCTCAAGAATGAATGCAGGCTTGTTTTGAGGGAGCTTATGCTTTCACACTGTCGACTTTAGCCTTCACTCCTGGTCCCCACCTCCACTGGGCCCGCACACTTCAGTGTTCCTTCAGCTAGCAGCAAGACCCATTCTTTGATATGTCAAATCAATATCCTGCTCATACAGAAAAACAAATATATATTTTAAAACACTGCAAAAAAAAACAGCTCTTCATATAACTTTTCTCAAAAGTATTCTTCCCAATTCAGACTCCTATGAGAAGCAAAGCATTAATTCCTCCCGAAATATGCTCCTTGGATCAGTGACTGCTGAGTAACATAAGCACATAAATTTTTTCTCCAACTTTTATTAACAAAATGAAATTTGAAGTTAAAAAACATGAGGGTTATTTGGAGTTTCAACTGCTGTGCACTCTGGACATATAGTTGCTCATTAATGGCAGAAGGCAGGGGCAACGTGAAGGCACACTAACCTTAACTAATGTTTTTCTTTGGGAATATGTCCCTCATTTAGATTTGTGGACTGGAGTGCTTGAATTCCGCTAACATACAGCCATGTATCACATAACAGCGGGGATACATTCTGAGAAATGTGTCACTAGGCAATTTCATCGTGCAAACATCATGGAGTGAATTTACATAAACCTGGATGGTACAGCCTACTATACGCCTAGGCTGTATGGTAGAGCCTATTGCTCCTAGGCTCCCAACCTGTACAGCAGGCTGCTGTACTGAATACTGTAGGCAACTGTGACACAATGGTAAGTATGTGTGTTTATAAACACGAAAAGTACAGTAAAAGTACAGTACAAGAGATGAAAAATGGTACATCCGTATAAGGTACTTCCCATGAATGGAGCTTGCAGGACTGGAAGTTGCTCTGGGTGAGAGTGAGTGAGTGGTGAGTTGATGTGAAGGCCTAGGACATTAATCCACACTAATATGGACTTCATGAACTTTATGGACTAATATGGACTTTATGAGCACTGTACACTTAGGCTATATTAAAGTCACAAAAATATAATTAACCTTAGCTCACCATAAATTTTTTACTTTATAAACTTTTTAGTATTTTTAATTTTTTGATTCCTTTGTAATATTACATAGCTGAAAATGTAAACACACTATACAGTTAAACAAAAAATATTTTCTTTCTTTATATCCTTATTCTATAAGGTTTTTTTTCTAATTTTTATGAACTTTTTAGATTTTTTGTTAGAAATGAAGACACGAGCACACACATTACCCTAGGCTTACATAGGGTCAGGAACATCAATATCACTGTCTGTTACCTCCACGTCTTCTCCTGCTGGAAGGTCTTCAGGGGCAGTGATATGCAAGGAGCTGTCGTCTCCTATGATAACACCTTCTTCTGAAATCCCTTTTGAAAGACCCGCCTAAAGCTGTTTTATAGTTAACTTTTAATATAAGCAGAAGCACAGTCTAAAATAATGATGAAAAAGTATAATAAGCACATAAACTAGTAGTATAGTCATTTATTATCAAGTATTATGTACAGTACATAACTGTATGCGCTAGACTTCTATACCACTGGCAGTGCAGTAGGTTTGTTTACACCAGCGTCACAAACACCTGCGTAACATGTTGTGCTACAATATTACAATGGCAACATCACTAGGTGATAGAAACTTTTCAGCACCACTATAATCTTATGGTGCCACTGTATATCCAGTCCTTCATTGACCAAAATGCGGTTATGCAGCACATAACTGTACTTCCTCTAAGCCCAATGGCTCCTCATTGCCCAAGTGAGAGAGCACACCAGACCACCCTTGTACCTCTCTACAAAGAAGGGGGAGTGGCAAAGGGCAGGTAGGCTGCTATGTCCACAGATGCATTTAAAGTAGGGGCTCAATGCAACACTGGGCCAATAAGAACATTCATCAATGTTGATCAGCACCAGGTGGTGGGCATATCATAAATTTGGCTTAAACCCTGTGTAATAAAACACAATTTTATGATCATGCTTTTTAGAGAAAGAATCAGTGACTGTGGGAAATTAGAGGCTAGTTACTATCCAGAACATGGGTTAGGAAACAGTTATATGATCTACATGGCTTACTTGCTATCAGAAAGGATGGCTCTTTATAGAAAGCACATTAATAACATTATCTTTGTATTCATTATTCATATGTTCCTTTCCAGCAGCAATGTACATTAATTTTTAAAGTAAAATATATCAGCCTGTAAGAGCTGTAGAGGACTTTATGAAGAGAAAGTAGAGGCAATAGGAGATGATGAGGTTTAGGACACATTGCCCAAAAATATGGCACACTGACATTTGAGAAAACAGCAGAAGCAGGAAGGTCACTCTCACCTTCTCCTCACCCTTCTCCCCCGAAGCAGGTCATAAAACTCTCCTTCCAGAGGTGTCCTCCCAATACCCAGAGGAAAAGAACACCCTTATCTCTGATCAAAGAGATCAAACCCTGTTATCCTCCAATCACACTTGTGTAGACTGTCTATTTCTTCATCAAACACAGCACAAAAATACACAGGTTTCCCTGTTTCTTTGGGTCTTCATTTCTGAAGACTGCCGTGTAACTTAAAATTGACAGCAAATAAACGTCTACACTTTTCTTTTATTAATCTTTTATTTTAGGGGCCTTAGCAATGAACCTTGTAATAGATGAGAAAGGACATTACTTTTTCTCCCCTACAGAGACAACTTTACTTGCAGAATTCTTGCTCTGTGGTTCTAAGGTAGAAAGCTAACTAATACTCAAAAGGATATTACATCCATGTACAAATGCATGTAAATATGTATACAAAAATGCACATATGCCGACATATATATAAACAGAATTTCTAATAACTGCAAAGCCTGCAGTAAAAGGTGAAAAAAAGATTAGATAAATAAATGCCTAAGGCAGTACTTGTTATAGGTATGCCCAAAAAATGGTAATAAATGAAAAAACTGAAATGCAAGAGAATGTGACTATTTCAGTCACCTGGAGAGTGGTGTGTTCACTAATGGACCACAGGTAATGATAGTAACACCCATGACATTTATCTCAGACCATTTAATTAAACTATATGGCATGAGACATTTTTTACAGAGCCATTCTGACACCAAGGCCATTTTGACTGGGCTTAAAGAAAACAAACCATTGAACTGTTTCGACTTTTAAAACATTATCCACTAACATGTGCTACAGACAGCTGACCTAATCCCTGATCCTCACCCTCCCATCCTGGGCCTGAAGAAGAGGTGGGGAGCAGGCTGAGGTGAGGGTCAAGGGGAGGTGGGGTCATGGGGAGGTGGAGGTCAGGAGTGCAGTAGGGCTCAGGGGTGTCTGCTGAACATACTGCTTGATACATTTTTTAAACATCAATTTTATACCATATGACATTGTAAAAACACATAAATTTGGAAACTCCTAGAAAAGTTTCAGGTAAAAATGGTAGAAAGTCTATTACAAATAGCAGCATGGACAGAAGTGGAGATAAAGTAAACAAATACCTTTTTAAAAAGAAGATATGTGTCCAAGAGCAGAGGTGACAATGCCACCCACAAATGTGACCATTTCCCACATGCCTATGCACATGGACTGTGTAATATTCCATCCCATCCAAGGAAATCGCTTTAATGGAAAAGATATCACTTAAAATTTGGGTCAAACGCCCTGATCAATAAGTGAGACTTTGGGTCTGAAGGAGATAACCCTGAGATAACTGTGGGAAATCATGACAAAATGACATATAATTTTAGAAAAGGCAGTAAAGAAAAACATTTTAAGTTTGCTTGCTTGAAAGCTACATGAACTTGCATTTACGGGTGTTCCACTGATTGTACTTAACTTTAACAAGCATTGCCTTTAACAGTGAATACCTTAAAGTATTCAACAGTTAAGAAAAAGGAAAGACTATTAAAAATTATCCACAACGGCTAAGGAAATTTCCTGGCCTCTTTTCTTCTCCTAATGCCCAATGGCTGACCCATCAGCAGGTCTCCTCTGTTCTACTTCCCAGTATCTCTCAAATTCACTTCCTCCCAACCCCACCTGCACTCAAACTCGTCCCCACCCCATACCCTGGGCACCCTCCGTAGTGTGGCCAGAGTCACCTTTACAGGCTATACACCTCTCTCCAAAGCTTACAGCGAAAGAATTACATGGGAAAATTGTTCCAAAACACATTTACAGGGCTCATCTATTGACAGTCCAATTTTTAAATTCCAATTTAAAAAGTTGTAGCTTAAAAAATTTTTTTTAAGTTGTGGCTTAGTACCAAGGAACCTGAATTTTCAACATGGAGTCCAGACAATTTTGATGTATGTAGTCTTTAGAACCTATCTTGAGAAGTGCTCTTATTAGATTCAAACCCTTTATCATTTTCAAAAGAAATCAAAAACACATGAAACTTAATATTTTTTAAAGACCCAGTAACAACTAACAAAGCCTGCTGATGACTATAATTACTTTCCACTCGGACTCGTTTCCTTAAATTAAGACACTAAATAAATTATGGTATGATTCACAAACACCCTCCAAAATGTTTAGGTAAAGTGAAGACTGACTATGACCTAAATATTCATAAGCATCCATATGACACTTTCTAAAGTTCCCTTGGTTCTAATAAAGTACTAATAAAGACAGCACTATGGCTAGAAAGACATCTGTGGACGTCTCTGGGGTTTCATCAAGCCTCATGAGTCTAAAAGAGTGATGTGAAGACAAAGGGGTCCTGCAGCAAGCAGAAGGTTCCTGCCGTCACTCAGCACCTCAGCTCGAGGAGGCAGAGATGGTTTGCCCACAGTGACAGCTGTCCTCTGCAGCTAGCTTACATGGCTTCACAAGTCAGACCTCTCTGTTCAAAGCAAGGTTACATCACTGTTGAAAAATCCTCAGTTTTCCTGTCCCTTAACAGGGCTCCTGCAAATCTTTACTATTCAAGCAATCTTGTAGGAAAAGCACTCGAATATACCTCATAAGATCCTAGTTGCTTTCCTGATTTCATCTCAGCAGTCTCAACACCTTCATAAGCTGGATGGAGCTAGAGAGAAGCAAAGCCAGAGCACTGGGAGCCACAGCGGGCAGAGCCAGCAGCACAGCCCTGTCTCCACAGCTCCCACCTGTCTGACCACAGCAGCCCCTGGCACAGAAACACTTGGAAGAGGGCCACTACCATATGGTAAGCACTCATTTGGATATTTTGAATTAAATAAAACATATTATTAACACTAATTTATCTGTTTAAGTTTTTTAAATGTGGCTATTATAAAATTTGAAAGTGCACGTGATACTCACACTATATTTCTGTGAGACAGTGCTAGCTTGCACTCTTACCTGTGAGATAAAAAATAAACTTGTTTTTGAGCTTCTGCACAGCAAAATAAACTATCAACAGAGTAGACAGACAAACTTACAGGATGGGAGAAAGTTTTTGCAAACTATACATCTAACAATGGTCTAATATCCAACACATATTAGTAACTTAAATCTACAAATTTGCAGAAAAAAAAACAACAACAACCCCATTAAAAGTGGGCAAAGGACATGAACAGACACTTTATAAAAGAAGACATACGTGTGGCCAACAAGCATATGAGAAAAAAGCTCAACATCACTGATCATTAGAGAAATGCACATCAAAATACAGTGAGATATCATCTCACACCAGTCAGAATGGCTATTATTAAAAAGTCAAAATAAAACATGCTGGCAAGGTTGTGGAGAAAAAAGAATGCTTACACACTGCTGGTGGGCATATAAATTGTTCAAACACTGTGAAAAGCAGTATGGCAATTCCTCAAAGAACTAAAAACAGAACTAACATTCAACCCAGCAATCCCATTACAGGGTATATACCCAAAGAAATGTAAATAACTCTATCATAAAGACACATGCACGCATATGTTCACTGCAGCACTATTCGCAATAGAAGACATGAAATCAACCTAAATGTCCATCAATAGTAGACTGGGTTTTTAAAAATGTGCTATGTATACACCGTGGAATACTATGCAGCCGTAAAAAAGAACAAGATCATATTCTTGGTGGGGACATGGATGGAGCTGAAGGCCATTATCCTTAGCAAACTACTGGAGGAACAGGAAAACCAAATACTGCATGTTCTCACTTGAAAGTGCAAGCTAAATGATGAGAACACATGGACATACAGAGGAAAACAACAGACACTGGGGCTTCCCAGAGGGTGGAGGGTGAGAGGAGGGAGAAGATCAGGAAAAATAACTCATGGGTACTAGGCTTAATACCTGGATGATGAAATAATCCGAACAACAAACCCCGTGGCGTGAGTTCACCCATATAACAAACCTGCACGTGTACCCCTGAACTTTTAAAAGTTAAAAAAAATGTTTTTAAGTACAGCATAGTTTCAAAGTGAATACAGGAAATGCCATTATTAATTGGAACACTTCAAGTGTTTCACAGCTAAATATGTCTGTTAATGGTTCCAGGTAGAATTTTATTAATGCCTGGCACTTGTTCAATCTATAATTTTTTCTTTTCTGTGTGTGTGTGTGTGTGTTTTTTTCAGGCCTTTGATAACTTTACAATTCGATTAGGAACTATCTCACCTTTTTCAAAGCACTCCGAAAATTAAATGGCACAAAAATCATCCATTCACTAAAGGCTTATAAAATGATGAAGAAAAAGAGCCTTTCAGAACTTTGTTTTCACAATTGTTACTAATGTTTTGTAACTGTTATTTCTGTGGTCACTAGCCTATTTAGATTTTCTTGAATTAATTTTAATAATTTATATTTTCCTATAAAATTCATTTCATTATTTTTCCCATATCTTTTATCATGTTAAAAAGTCTTAAATTTAAGGAAAAATCTCCTCTCTAAAAGATATTTCATCTCTCATTTCTTACATTTTTAGGCGTGTCTTTCTTCTCTCCTTTATTCTTGATTAGCACTGGCAATCAATAACCATATTTTAAATTCATTAATTATATTGTTTATATATTACTGCTTAATGTTCTTATATTTATTAATTCCTTCCTCTATTTTTTCAGGTTCTTTTTTTTTTCCTGAGAAAGAATTGAATAATTAGCTGTTTTTTTCTTTCTTGCTTAAGGACAAAATTTCAACATGATTTATAATTGTAATACTATTGCTAAGGTCAAAATAATCCATTCTCAAAGTTTCAGTTTATTTTTTTAATACAAAAAGTTAAAAGGCATCATGTTGTTGTGTTTTATATTTCACCATAATTGGTTTTGGGGGTTTTGTTTGTATGTTTGCTTGTTTCTACAAGAGGTAGGGTTGCATGGTGACAGTGGTGGTAAGGGTGCAGGGAGGAGATTATCAACCTTTCCTGGAGTAATCCTAAATGTCATGACAATGGAGTTCTTAAACTAGCACTGAAATAAAAAAGAGCTAGCCCCAGTCAAAAAAAAAATCAAATTAAATATATTTTACTATGAGCTTAATTTCAACAATCCCATTTGTAAGTAATAACTATAACACCACTAGACATGGATGAAGGCTACGGGTCACTAAAAACAATATGCATATATGAGACAGCTTAGTTTTTAAAATCATAAGCTCAGCTGGGTGCAGTGGCTTACACCTGTAATCCCAGAATTTTGGGAGGCCAAGGCAGGAGGATCACTTGAGCTCAGGAATTCAAGACCAGCCTAGGCAATATAGCAAGACCTGTCTCTACAAAAATGTAAAAACAAGCCAGGAGTGGTCACACACACACACCTGTAGTCCCAGCTACTCAGGAGGCTGAGGTGGGAGGATCGCTTGAGCCCAGGGAGCAGAGTCTACAGTGAGCCAAGATCATGCCACTGCACTCCAGCCTGGGCAACAGAGCAAGAGCCTGTCTCAAAAAAGTAAAATAAAATCATAGACTAAAGAAAATTAGACAAACCAATGTGTTTTGTAAAACTTTATAGGATTCAAAAGCTGACAGATTTCTGAAAGCACATTGTTTAGTGAAATCTCTTTTTTGGTCCTCATATGAAATAACTAGATTATCATAGGAAATACCCATTAATCAAACCTAAAAAGTAACACATTTACAAATCACAGTATTAATTACACAGGCAAAACCTTCCTTCTATGATGTTTCCTTTTGTTTTTTCTTTTTTGGACACAGGGTCTCACTCTGTCACCTAGGTTGGAGGGCAGTTATGCGATCTTTGCTCACTGCAACCTTCACGTCTCAGGCTCAAGTGATCCTCCCACCTCAGCCTCCAGAGTAGCTGGGACTACAAGCAGGTGCCACTACCCCCGGTTAATTTTTTGTATTTTTTTGTGGAGATGAGGTTTTGTCACGTTGCCCAGACTGATCTCAAACTGCTGAGCTCATGCAATCCACCTGCCTGGCCTCCCAGTGTGCTGGGATTACAAGCTACAATGTTTCTTGAATTTGCACATCATCCATGTTCCCTGGCTAAACCAATGTCCAGGTTTCCTATATTTATATATTACTTGAATAAAGTAACATTAATTTGCTCATTTTCTGACACATTTTTCAAACTGTTGGGGGCAGCGATAAAGAAATATGGGCAGTGATTGGAAGACTAAAAGTATCCCCCAACTCCATCATAATCCTTACATGAAATGGTGAATTCAGGAATTAGTTTTCTTTTTCTACTCATGTATACTCATGAATTTGTGCAGCACAGAAGCAGATTCATACACACAAAGCAATTACTAGAAATTCTGACTATATTGAGTACAAATTTTACTTTTTAGTTTTGTTTGGAAAAATTCCAGACACTAAAAAATCAGAAGCAGCTTGACTATATACTAAAGTCAATACCCAATTCACATTCTAGATTATAGTTGTATTGTAGCTGACACTTGATATAATCCACTGGAACACAAATCTTTTGGCCATTCTCTTTGTACTGCCCTGCATAGTTCAAGTTATATTAAGAGTTGTGAGCACACAACTCTGGCAATATCCTTGTGAAGTGGATTCACCAATGTAATTTTACCTTAACAACGAACAAGGGCAGTGGAAAAGAAAGTGTGACTACTGGGGTCACTGAGGAGTCTGTGGCTGTGCAAAGCAAATTTAGTACGGAATTCCTCCTGAGAAAGTCACATGACTTCTAAAACCTGAATTATATTCAAATAATTCACATAATTTTGTTTTTTCTTTTTTTTGAGACGGAGTTTCGCTCTTGTTGCCCAGGCTGGGCAGTGCAGTGGTGTGATCTCAGCTCGCTGCAACCTCCGCCTCCTGGGTTCCAGCGATTCTCCTGCCTCAGCCTCCTGAGTAGCTGGGATTACAGGTGTGCACCACCTTCCCCATCTAATTTTCGTCATTTTAGTAGAGATGGGGTCTCGCCATGTTAGCCAGGCTGGTCTCAAACTCCTGACCTCAGGTGATCCACCAGCCTCAGTCTCCCAAAGTGCTGGGATTACAGGCATGAGCCACTGCACTCAGCCCGTTCACACAATTTTTAAGCATAAAATTACATAAAGAATAAACATATTAAATATTTTTTTAAATGCACTGTCACCATTTAAAGGAAATTCCACAAGGAAATTACATGTAGTGTTAGAAAACTTGGCAAAGTTTGATAACTAGATTTTGGATTCCAGATACTTTTAGATGAAGCTATATCAATGTTTCCATAATGCTATACCCCTGGGTTCATACTGAGTAACAGCACTAAAAAATGTATGGTGCAATCACTCTGAAAACTAGCGTTCAAGAAGTCAACAGCCATTATTCATGTGTACACATTCTCACGTGCTAACAGTCTCTGATGACCAAGAGGAACCTCATCATTCAAACTGCAAAGATCAAAAAACTGGTTAAGCTTTTTATGTCCTGTATGAGAGATCTTTCCCTACCTTAAGGTTATGAAAATATTCTACTCTATCATGTTTTAGAAGGCTAATTATTTTTTCTTTCACATTCTATAATCCATGTAGAAATGTTATAGATGGTATAAGAATTTTTTCCATATGGCCAGCATCAATTATTAAAAAGATAAGTCCTTCCCAAGGCACTACACAAAGTCCTTAATACTCTGTTCCACTGGTCTATATGTTACTCTCAGGCCAATGCCTCACTGTTTTAATTAATATGACTTAAAATAAATTTTACTAACCACCTGAGCAGTTCTTCCCCCATGCTATGTTTTCCTTCAAGACTGTATTGACAATTCTTGTCCCTTTGCATTTACATATATATTTTGTAATCAACTTATCAATTTACATATTCACATATGCATCTGCTGAACTGCTTATAAATCTACAGATGAATTAGGGGAGCTACATATTAGTGATATTGAGTCTTCCCACTGATCACCATCATATTACCTACTTTCTCTTAAGTCTTCTATAATTTCCTCTCAATAATGTTTTTCTTCTTGTGATCTTGCATATTTTTTACTGCTTCTAATTGATATTTTATGCTATCATAAACAGCATATTTTCAAATTTTTCTTTTCTGTTTGTTGTTATTCTATAGAAATACAACTGATTTTATCCACTGTATTGACTTTGCATCCAGCAATATTTCTATTAAGGACTGAATGTTTGTTTCCCCTCCCAAAATACCAATATGGGGATGGAGATGGGCCTTTGGGAGGTAAGCAGGGTTAGATGAGGCATGAGGGTGGGGGACTCCACATGGGATTCGTGCCCTTATGAGAAGACACACCAGAGAGCTTACTCCCTCTCTCTCCCTGCCACATGGGGACACGACAAGGAAGGAAGCGAGCCCTCAACAAGAACTGAATTTGCCTTGATCTTGTGACTTCCCGGCCTCCAGAACTGCAAAAGTAAAAACTTCTGTTGTTGAAGACACCCAGTGTGCAGTATTTTGTTATGGCAACCTGAGCTAAGATTAATGCCAAAAATTATGTATTATTCCAGTAATTTATCTATAGATTCATTAGGAATTTCCTTTGTTTACAATCATATTTATCTGCAAATATGAGAGATTTCTTCCTGAGATCATATTTTGTTTACTTATATGCCTAAATGTATTGGGTATGTCCTCCATTCCAATGTCAAATACATATGGTGTTAGAGGGCAACGCTGTCTCATTTGCTGTATCAGAAAGATTTTTATAATTAAGTAGAATATTCTTTACACACATTCTTAGCACTGCAGTACTAAGCAGAATAATCTCCCCCAACACAAATGTTCATGTTCTAGTCCTCAGAACCTGTGACTATGTTATACCTCAAAGCAAAAGGGACTCTACATATGTGATCAAGGTAAGGATCTTAAGATGGTGAGCTTGCCCTGGATTATTACCCAGATGGGCCCAGTGGAATCACTAGGGTCCTTTTAAGGAAAAGAGGGAGGTAGTAGGGCCAGAGTCAGGGAAGATGCTGTGATGACAGATAAAAAGGTTAGAGCGATGCCTCAAAACCGCACAACAACATGGAGACTGAACAACCTGCTCCTGAATGACCACTGGGTACATAACGAAATGAAGGCAGAAATAAAGATGTTCTTTGAAACCAATGAGAACAAAGACACAATGTACCAGAATCTCTGGGACACATGTAAAGCAGTGTGTAGAGGGAAATTTATAGCACTAAATGCCCACAAGAGAAAGCAGAAAACATCTAAAATCAACACCCTAACATCACAATTAACAGAACTAGAGAAGCAAGAGCAAACAAATTCAAAAGCTAGCAGAAAGCAAGAAATAACTAAGATCAGAGCAAAACTGAAAGACATAGAGACACAAAAAACCCTTTAAAAAATCACTAAAACCAGGAGCTGGTTTTTGGAAAAGATCAAAATTGATAGACTGCTAGCAAGGCTAATAAAGAAGAAAAGAGAGAAGAATCGAATAGACGCAATAAAAAAATGATAGAGGGGATATCACCACCGATCTCACAGAAATACAAACTACCATCAGAGAATACTATCAACACCTCTACACAAATAAACTGGAACATGTAGAAGAAATAGCATAAATTCCTGGACACATACACCCTCCTAAGACCAAACCAGGAAGAAGTTGAATCTCTGAATAGACCAATAACAGGCTCTGAAATTGAGGCAATAATTAATAGACTACCAACCAAAAAAAGTCCAGGACCAGATAGATTCACAGCCGAATTCTACCAGAGGTACAAGGAGGAGCTGGTACCATTCCTTCTGAAACTATTCCAATGATTAGAAAAAGAGGGAATCCTCCCTAACTCATTTTATGAGGCCAGCATCATCCTAATACCAAAGCATAGCAGAGACACAACGAAAAAAGAGAATTTTAGACCAATATCCCTGATGAACATCGATGTGAAAAACCTCAATAAAATACTGGCAAACCGAATCCAGTAGCACATCAAAAAGTTTATCCACCACAATCAAGTCGGCTTCATCCCTGGGATGCAAGGCTGGTTCAACATACGCAAATCAATAAACGTAATCCATCACATAAACAGAACCAACAACAAAAACCACATGATTATCTCAATAGATGCAAAAAAGGCCTTCAACAAAATTGAACATCCCTTCATCCTAAAAACTATCAATAAACTAGGTATTGATGGAAAACACTGCATTTTCTCACTCATAGGTGGGAAATGAATGAGAACACTTGGACACAGGGCGGGGAACATCACACACCGGAGCCTGTCAGGGGGTGTGGGGCTGGGGGAGGGATAGTATTAGGAGAAATATCTAATGTAAATAATGAGTTGATGGGTGTAACAAACCAACATGGCACATGTATACCTAGGTAACAAACCTGTACGTTGTACACATGTACCCTAGAACTTAAAATACAATTTAAAAAAAACAAAAAAGGTTAGAGTGATGCAGGGGCCATGAGCCGAGGAATGTAGGCAGCCTCTAAAGCTTCAATAGGCAATGAAATACATTCTCCCCTGGAGCCTCTAGAAGGACACCGCCTGCCAGTGTCACCTATGTTGGCTTCAGGTCTCCTGTAAGAACCATAAGACAGTAAGTTTTTGTTGTTTTAAGCCACTAGGTTTGTAGTTATTTGGTAGAGCAGCAGTAGAAAACATAGATATGGCAGATTTTTTAAGTTCCTTTATTATCAATTTTCTGCTTCTGGTAAAAGCACCATATAATTTTTCATCTTTATTTAGATAACATGGTAAAATACACTAATTGATTTTAAAATGTTAAACCATCTATATATTCCGGGAATAAACTCAATTGGCTAATATTATGTTAGGCTTATTATATATAACTGGCTTTTATTTGCAGGATTTTTTGTGGGGTTTTTTGGTATGAAGGTTCATAAGTGAGATTGGTCTGTAATGTTCCTTTCTCTAACTATTCTCACTAAGTTGTACCACTTTATAAAGGAAGTTGAGAAGTATTCCCTATTTTTGTATTCTTTGGAAGAATATGTTTAAGTCTGGTGCCATATACCCTAATCTAAGCATATATTAAACCACATGATTTGGCCCTTAGCTAAAGTGATAATTGTGTTGTTTAAATCTTCCTTCTTTTCCATCTGCTTCTAGCAGGTATTAAGAAAAGTGGGCTGGCTGGGTGCAGTGGCTCACGCCTGTAATGCCAGCACTTTGGGAGGCCTAGGCGGGCAGATCACGAGGTCAGGAGTTCAAGACCAGCCTGGCCAACACGGTGAAACCCCATCCCTACTAAAAATACAAAAATTAGTCGGGCGTGGTGGCAAGCACCTGTAATCCCAGCTACATGGGAGGCTGAGGCAGGAGAATCGCTTGAACCTGGGAGGTGGAGGTTGCAGTGAGCCAAGATTGCACCACTGCACTCCAGCCTGGGTGACAGAGCAAGACTCTGTCTCAAAAAAAAAAAAAAGAAAAAAAAAAAACAGAAAAGAAAAATAGGCTAAAATCTCCTGCTATGTTTGTAATTTGTCTACTTCACCTTTTAGTTCAGTCAACTTCTGCTTTATATGGTTTGATGCTAGGTTAAATGGAGACAAATTTAGAATTGTTATCTCTTCCTAAGAATTGAACCTTTATATTACAAAGTATCTTTCTTTACCGGTAGTAGTACTTTTAGCTTTAAAGTCCCTGTATTTTCTGATATTTAAGACTTCGGAAAAGAAGTTATCTCTAAGCTGAAAGTTAAAGGATGGGAAGAAGTCTGTTGGGTAAACAGAGAGAAAAACCTCCACACAGCAAGGTGTGCTTGGTCCTGACAAGGTCCTGAAGGCAAAGAGAATATGGCTCTTTCATGGAACTGAAATATCTTTGCCATCTAAAATCTGTGAGTAAGAACAACAGTCTCCACCTTACATTCCTTCCTTGGTAACAGCCAGAGTCCTAATTTTGTTCTGGTATTCACTCTTCCAGGTGGTCAGGAAACACATGGTCTAGACCAAGAGCATAGATTATTATGGTTGCAAGACAATTGTAAGAATTCTCTTCCCCCAGCCAGTGGAATAGAATACAGGAGAAACTTTTAAAAGAGGTTTTCTCCTCTAATACCATCATGGGGAAAAAATCCAGATATCTGGAGCTGTAGCAACCACTTTATAAGAATGAGGAAACTAGCCCTAGGACCAAGATAATACAATAAGACTGTCAGGCCCAAACAATAGAAAGAGCCTCTGTCTACACTAACACTGCTGACCTAGACCTGTGTCCAACTTTCTGCTTTATAAGCTTATAAACTTCTCATCGTTAGGAAACTTTTAGCTAAGTTTTTTCTGCTCCTTGCAACTGATGCAAGATCCTTACATACCACTTTTTGATTGTTTTTTAAAATTCCCAATGTTAAATAATAAGAGATTGCTGAAGAATATTTCCCAAATTGTATAATCTACACAAGAAAATATATATTTTTACTGTTTCCCCATCCATTGATACATGCATATTACATAATTGCCCAAAATATTTAGAAATGTAAATTTTACATTATCAAAAAATAGGCCTTATATAAAATGTAAATGGTAAATATATAACGATTTGTAAATGGTCAAATATATAACCATTCTATAATCCTTAAAAATTAATAGTCTTACAGTGATTCTATTTGAAAGTACAGTTTCCATGTCTGGTCTTGACAAAGGGAAAGTACAATAAATTAAGAAATAAGACATAAAAATGAATTTAACTAAATCCCAGAAAAACAACCACACAAATGGCATATACACAATGCAGCCTAGAATGAGACATTTCAAAATTAAAGCTCTTATGGCTTTTCTGAGATTTTTAAACAAATTAGCAAGTATAAAAAGAAATTAAATTTTTACATTTTTCATTATTTTCCACATTGAAACCTACACTTATTAACTTTTTATAGTTGTCCTATCAAATTTTGCATCATAATAGTTCAAATGAGAAAATTGTAGAAGAGTGAGACATACATTATCTAATAAGGTACTTATTCAACATACTAAAATTTCACAGTACATAATTTTGAGAAATAAGGGATTAAACACACTGAGAAAAATTTTTTCCAGTTCCTATATGATCAAGCAGAAACCTTTGATTTTTTAAACTATAATCAAGAAAATAAAGATAAAATATTTCTAATAATGGATAGGCATTGCTAACTAGGTTAACATTATGTTAACTAAGTAAATAGTTGGGCAATTCTCTAGGCAAATTAAGCAGAGTTTACTTTTCCTCCTATTACATACACAATTATATAACACAAGAGTTGTTAGCAGGTCAAATGTTTCAATATATAAAAGAAAGCATTCTAATTCCTATAAAAACCACATCAAATGTGCTCACTGAAAATTCAGAATAAATTATATTCATGAAAGACACTAAAGTTACAAAAGAATACATTCATTTATCAGGGAAAATGAAGCAAGAGTTGTAAACCTCCACTGCAGGGTGTTAGGAAGCAGAAATTTCATTAGTTCTTCAGCCCGAAATGTAACCTTTATAGATGTCTTCTTCACAAGAAACATCTGCGGGTATTAAAAAGGAAGATATCCAGAAGAGTCCTCTCCAGAAGAAATTTTAAAAGACCTATTTTTAAATTGCCCACATATAGTAACTATAAACCATGAATGACATCTAAAAACAAACAAACAACAATAACAAAACTAGCTAAGGGCATCTGAGATCATCAAAAGTGGGAAGATTCTGGAAGGGAAGTGACACTTGCAATAAAGATAAAGGAATAGCTCTAGTGAATTTCCTAATTTTTATGAATTTGCAAGCTCCACAGATACCAAAATCTCCAATAGAAAACCCATTGTCTTACTGGCTTGAAGAACCAAAGGACAGAGTTTAAGGCAACCATAGCTATTGGAAATGAGGTTGGCAATAACAGTGAATCCCAGCAAAGAGACAGACCTAGAGAAGACGATGCATAAATTCTGTGTATAAACTCTGCCCAAATCTCTGGCTGACATTTAAACCAGACTAAGACTAAAACAAACGAAGTATGATTTCAGTTACCACCCATGAGTCTGAGTTTGCAGTTTGAGTCACCAAAATTAATTTTTTACCCAGGGGGGGAAAAAAAAAACATTGTTGGAACAAATGTAACAGAATCCAGGAAAACAAAAACAAAACAAAACAAAAAAAACCACATGATCCATTTTCAGAAGAAAATCAATGAAGACTGACCCCTGACCCTGAGTAGACCCAGATGTTGAAATTAGCAGAGAAGGATCTTCAACCAGCTGCTATAAGTTTCATCAAGGTTATACAGAAAAATATGCCCATGATGAATGAAAGGAATATCATCAGAAAAAAATCTGTTGTAAAAAAGAATCTAATAAAAATTCTAAAACTAAACAACATCATACGGATATAAAATCGACATTGTTAAGCAGCAAATGGGTTTAGCAGATTGGTGATGACAGAGTCAGTAAAGACTTTCCTGTAAAGATAGAGCGATAAAAACTACTGAATCTGAGGAATAGAGAGAAAATGTATCAAACAAAATGAAGAGATCTTAAGAACCTGTGGGACAATATTATAACATTCTTGTAATTGGGCTCCCAGAGAAGAAAAAAAAAGAGAGAGAGAGAGAGAATGAGGCAGAAGACATATATTTCCCTAAAAGGATATAAGTCATAAATCTACAGATTCATAAAGGTCAGCAAATCCCAAACAGGATAAATACAAAGAAAGCCACACATAGGCATGTCAGTCAAATGACCATCAACAATGAAGAAAATCACCTAATCGTTGGCTGGTCCACTATTTACTATATGACATTCACAGTCTTCCTACTTACTATCATGTCTGGCCATGATGCTTCTGGTATTTGTACAGTCCAGAATCTTGCCCTAAGGATGTCAAATTACTGTATTCTCTTTCTTAACCAATTTTTCCCTTAACCTCATAGGTTAGCATTTAGGGCTGAGTGGTTAACGGAGAAAACACTAAATTGGACTCCCCTTGGTTTATATTCCTTGCCACATTACCTAAAAAGGACTAACTAACTCTGCGGATTAGGCACAGAACTGTAGATTAAATATCAGGATAGTCAGTATAGCACAGTGGTTATTAGGCTGGGGTTTAGAGTCAAGTGTGTTTAAATCTTAGTTTTGTGATTTTCTTAGCTGCCTCAAAATCATGCCCCAAAATACCTACTATGATTCCTGTTATGAAGATTAAATGCTTAGCACTGTCCCTGGCACAGAGAAATGCCCAATACTCGCTTGAAATTAATACTCATCATTGTAATTTTTCAGTTTAAAGAAAAGACCAAAGCATTCCACTTTATTTTTAATAATTAATACATCTAATTATTAGCATGTCATAAATGAATGTAAGACATCATCAATGTAAGATAAGATTTTATTTTATGCACCACACAGAAAGAAAGAATGTTGCCAACTGAACCAAAACATTCTACTGCTTGTATGTCACCAAATAAGAAACATATGTCTCCTGATTCCAGAGGTAATAACAAGTACATCTTATTAAATAAGACACATATAACTCCTTCAATTATCACAAATTAAGCTCTACAAGATAGATACTATTATCCCTAATTTTCAAGTGAAGAAATTGAGGTCCACAAAGTTAAGTAAGTCCCTAAATTACAAAGGTGGTAAACAGTAAGGCAGGATTCAAAGACAGGCAAACTGGTTTCAGAGCTCTTGCTATTAGCCACTGCACATGTAAGTACCTCTGTTTTTCTTGAGTTCCATCTTTTTATTAACTTTGAATGTTCACCAATACCATAAGCCTCAAATCTGCACAAGAATAATGTCAGACTCTGACAGATGTAAAAGAGGGCCATTCCATGCTGTGAGATACAAAATGTGACATCTATTATTTATTACAAATTTCAACACAAGAGACCATGGTTTTCAACCCTGGCTACCCATCAGAATCACTTCAGGTGCTTAAAAAAACCGCAGATGCCAGGAAATAACCCCAGACTTACTAACTCAAAATCTCCAGGATTAGAATATAGAGATATGCACATACTTTAATGCTCCAAAAGTCACTCTGCCACATGGCTGGACTTGAGGACCAATCAATCTTAACCAACCAATCTTGTTTTAGAATAATTTTTTTTCCATTGGTATACTCTCTGTTACTCTTACTACCATTAATCTGCAACCAGGTAATAAAAAGTTCACTTTACACCAACCAAAAGTATTCTGATGTTAATATGATCTTAATTTAACCTCATTATATTTTTTAAAATAAAAAAATGTATTACTGGTATATTTGAGACTGCTGAGAAAGGGAATTTCCATTTCTGTATAAATACAGCATTACTGCCCATTTAATATGAATACACTGTGAAATGATCAAAATGTGGCAGTTCCTAGCCTGATGAGGAAAATGAAACAAAGTGCTTTTGAATAAAACAATGTGTTTGTCAAACTACCACCTCGGTGACAAACACTGAAAGTGCCTGCTTGGTAATGCCTTCCCAGGCCACCAGCCTTACTTCCTAAGGACATCATCCCTCTCTCAACCACAGCACATGGCAAAATACAGTGATGTTCTTCTGTGTTTATCTCACCCACTGATACTATCATGAGACCCTCCCAGGGAGAGGTCTCATGATAATATCTTCTACATGTAGTTCAGTGTCAGAACAGAGTAGAAACTCAACAAATAATTACTAAATGAATGAACAAATTCTTCCTCTAATTCATACTTGACACTTACATCACTGTTTTACATATATGTACACACATATTTTTTAATAGAACTTAATTTCCCCAACTTCTTCTTTTTCCAAGTACATCTCTAGGTGAAAACCTCACACTTTAATTGCCTGTAATGTTGAATTACTCATGTCTTTGTTACCCACTCTTGCCAAGAAATTAACAATTCCACCAATATCTATTCTCAAAATCATACTCTTCCTTCAAAACACAAATTAAACTGCATCTCTTCCATTTAAACTTGCCTGACTCCCTCAAATAAAGTGTCACTTTAATCATCTGCTATAGTAAAATTGAAGAAATAAATGCAGGGAGGTATGGAGAAATAATTCATGGAATTCTTATTTTTCAGAGTACTGGGGATCAATATCGGACTATAGCCACACTGTCCAGCAGAACTTTCTGTGGTAATAGAAATATTCTGTATCAATGCTGTCCAATAGCCACATGTGGCTAATGAGTACTTAACATGTAGCTAGTGAAGTTTAAGGGCTAAATTTTTCATTTCATTTGGCTTTAATTAATTAAAATATAAATCAAAATAGTGCACATGACAACCACCTTGGGCAGCACGGGTCTAGAGGCACTTCGGGGTACACCACAGAGAAACATCTCCAGCCTCAACCCACTCAATCTTTATATTAGCATTAATACCTCACATCAAGTGTTTCAATGATAAAAAGCTGAAAAGGGGCTAGGCACAGTGGCTCATGCCTATAATCCCAGCACTTTGGAAGGCCAAGGCAGGCGGATCACTTGAGGTCAGGGTCCGAGACCATTCTGGCCAACATGATGAAACCCTGTCTCCACTAAAAATACAAAAATCAGCCAGGCGTGGTGGCATGTACCTGTAATTCCAGCTACTGAGGAGAATCACTTGAACCTGGGAGGCAGAGGTTGCAGTGAGCCAAGATGGCACCACTGCACTCCAGCCTATGTGACAGAGTAAGACTCAAAAAAAAAAAAAAAAGCTGAAAAGAGAAGTTAATGCATTAGAAGGAGGAAAAATGTCCCTAAAAAAGATACTGGTGCCAAGATACCAGTACGAGCGGTATCTAGCACATTTAATAAAAATGAGTAAAAAGAGACTAAAACACCAAACCCCCAAAACAAGCCAAAACCCTCATGAGAGTGTAGAGCTATCCGAAGGTAGAAAAGAATATCTTGAGAGGTAGAGAGTTCCATATAACCCAAGATGTTCAAGAATCTCTCCAACTACCATATTCAGGATTCCTGGGAAGGGATGTGGAGCCTGGGAGCAATGTGTGGAATAGCAACCATCAAAGTCTAAGCGTGGAAGTCCAGCAGAGATCAACGGAGTCAAGACAGAAGAATCTGCTTTTCTAAATATTGTCATGTGAGTCAGAGCGACGGCTGCGAAGGAGATCCAGACCTTCCGACCTCCGATCCATTCTGCCCACTAGACTAGGGGCATCCATCACACACTTCAAAGTTGTTTAAAAGGTCCTAGATTTCAGCTAAAATTGCTGGTAGTGACGTCCATTAAACATGTCATCAGGCCGGGTGGCACCTGTAATCCCAACAATTTGGGGGGCCAAGGTGAGCAGATTGCCTGAGTTCAGGAGTTCAACACCAGCCTGGCCAACACGGTGAAACCCCATCTCTACTAAAAACACAAAAATTAGCTGGGTGTGGTGGCGGGTGCCTGTAATCCCAGCTACTTGGAAGGCTAAGCCAGGAGAATCTCTTGAACCTGGGAGGTGGAGGTTATAGTGAGCCGAGATCACGCCTCTGCACTCCAGCCTGGGCGACAGAGTGATCCTCTGTCTCAAAAAAAAAAAAAAAAAAAAAAAAAAAAAAGTCATCATGTCCAGTGTTTCTTTATGAACCCAAAAGAGGTGTATATTTGAAAATATGTAATTTATTTGAACTATTGTTTTTTTAATTTGAGGCATATTAAAAATCTGATTAGAATATTAGAAAATATTTCACAGTTTTGCCTACAGAGCTCATTATCATCCGCTTAAGTGATGTTTTAGAAAATTATTCACTTATTTAGCAAGACTTAAAAATGCACTACTGGCCGGGCGCGGTGGCTCACGCCTGTAATCCCAGCACTTTGGGAGGCCGAGGCGGGTGGATCACGAGGTCAGGAGATCGAGACCATCCTGGCTAACACGGTGAAACCCCGTCTCTACTAAAAATACAAAAAATTAGCCGGGCGTGGTAGCGGGCGCCTGTAGTCCCAGCTACTCGGGAGGCTGAGGCAGGAGAATGGCGTGAACCCGGGAGGCGGAGCTTGCAGTGAGCCGAGATCGCACCACTGCACTCCAGCCTGGGCGACAGAGCGAGACTCCGTCTCAAAAAAAAAAAAAAAAAAAATGCACTACTGTTCAACTCCTAAAGAAAAAAAAATGTATTTAATCCTTAAATACTTTTTAAACTTACCAACCCCAAATATATAATAAATAATTCTGACAGGGCGAAGCTCAGAGACACTGGCCCCCAAAAATTTGCATAGTAATAAATATAGTCTTCTAAATGAAAGTAGGACTGCCCCATTCTCAACATTGGTATTAGAATCTACCTTTTGAATTTCTTTACATTTATGAAATAAGCTTTATTAACGAAATGACAACAAATAATATAACCACATTTTCAAAATTAAAAAAAATACATAAGCAAATAATAAACCTCCCTCATTTTTTCACTAAGCTACGTTTTCCTTTCTTCAAAACTGTTCTCTGTAGTCATTAAACCACAGAAGGGACATCAGTGACACAAACACCCATGTTTGATAGGTGAAAAACTGACTGGGATCACTTGTCCAGCCTCCCAAGCAAGGCGACCCTGGCGTACTGTTCCCGGGTCCCTGCATTCTCTGCCCCTCTGCTCCACACTGCTCATCACGACTGCCTTGCTGCTTTGACTCCAGAAGAGGCCTCCATGATGCTCGTTTTTCGTTTTTTTGTTTTCTTTTTTCCTTAAATACACAACAGGAAGCACAGCTTGAATATTCATATTTTATTTTAAAGTTCTTGAAAACAGCAAAACAAAATGAAGCTAGCTTTGAAGTGCTGTGATTACACAGAAAATCTCCTTCCATTCATTCAAATCATGATGACTGGGCACCTACGATGGGCCACCACCATTTGAGACACCATTCTAGCTTATCCATTCTAGGAGGTGCTACACAGATAAAAATCTCTGCCTTAATGGACCTCTTATACTTTAGTGTGGGAAGAATAAACAACAGATAAGTGAAATATGTAGAGTACGTTAGATAGTGATAAATGCTATGGAGAAATGTAAAAGCAGAGAAAAGGATGAGGTATGAGCAGACTGCATGTCAAACAAGGTGAGGGAACACGTCACTGAGAGGTGACCAAAAAGAAAGAAGGGGGCCGGGCGCGGTGACTCACACCTGTAATCCCAGCACTTTGGGAGGCCGAGGTGGGTGGATCACGAGATCAAGAACATCCTGGCCAACATGGTGAAACCCTGTCTCTACCAAAAATACAAAAATTAGCCGGGCGTAGTGGCAGGCGCCTTTAATCCCAGCTACCTGGGAGGCTGAGGCAGGAGAATCGCTTGAACCTGGGACATGGAGGTTGCGGTGAGCCAAGATCGCGCCACTCCAGCCTGGCAACAGAGCAAGACTCCATCTAAAAAAACAAAAAAAAAAAAGAAAGGGAAAGGGAAAGAAAAGAAAAGAAGCAAGTTGTGAAGGCGTCTGGGAGCAGAAGGCCGTGAGGCAGGAGCACGGTTGCTGTGTCCTGGGTCTGCAAGAAGGCCAGTGTGGCTGACACCCTGCACCCGAGGTCATAGAGGAAAAGGACGGGAAACGAAGGTGGAACCAGACCCTGGAAACCCTTGCAAACAGACCAGCTGCTTGTTCACCGCCTTTACCACCCACCATCCTCACTCACACCCTGTCTCCCTGAACCTCACACATCTGAGATGAGATGAAATCAAGTAAGAAGTCATTATGGTATTTTGAAAAAAAGAGGAAAGCATTTTTCCATGAATTGGCAGTTTCCCCAAATCTATCCTCAGGTGTATGAAAATCAGTATTAAAGATCTGAGGTGGGCCAGGCATGGTGGCTCATGCCCGTAATCCCAACACTTTGGGAGGTTGAGGCGGTCGGATCACTTGAGGCCAGGACTTGGAGACCAACTTGGCCAACATGGCAAAACCCTATCTCTACTAAAAATACAAAAAAACTAGCCGGGCATGGTGGTGCACGCTTGTAACCCCAACTACTCAGGAGACAGAGGCACAAGAAATGCTTGAACCTCGGAGACGGAGGTTGCAGTGAGCCGAGATTGTGTCACTGCACTCCAGCCTGGGTGACAGTGCAAGACTCTGTCTCAAAAAAAAAAAAAAAAAAAAAAAAATCTGAAGTGGTTACCAACCCTCATTATTTGAAACTACCTCAGTTGGAATGATCATTACAGATGCTTATTACAGCCCCAAATAAAACAATAGGAGACTAGAGGGTAGAGGAAGAAATATGTGTGTTGACATAAATTTTATCTCATTAGTCATTATTTATCTTTACAATACATTAAAAGGATTCAAATGTTTTTACAGCTTTGAATTTTGACTTTAAAACCTGAAATCCTAAGCCACAGCAAGGTAGTTGGCCTGGATTATATCCTAGTGCTACAAGTTCGGCAGCTGAATAAAATTGAGAACTATATGTTAATCATTCACTCAATATTTTCTTGACCACAATTATGCCTAGATCAGCACAAGAAACCAAAGAAAGCCTGCCAGCAATATTCCCTGCAGCAGGTCCTGAGGCAATTTTCCCATCTGTGGTCACAGGAGGGGAAGCTTCTTAGTGGCCCAAGAGAAGCATCTACCTGAGGCGCTGGATGGGCACCTGAGAGTCCTGCATGGTTGCATGCAGCAGTCGCTCTTCTGGGGCATTGTCTCCCTTCAATAAATAGATCTATCTACTGCAAAATCTCACAGAACGCTACAAGTAGGTCCAACTCAAAAACAAAATTCAGACTGCATAAGGGATCGTTCTGCATTGCTGACCTGAAACATCTGTGCCTTGTGACAAAAACTAGGAAGAGGGATCCCATACACTTAAGATCACTGGGACTGACGTGGATATTTGTGAAGATGCCAAGAAGAACCGTGACAGATATATTGTCACTCTGCAATAAAATTAGAAAAAAAAATCCTCATGCCATAATGTATATATACATAAACTGTATCCAAAAATATGTGGCTGGTAAAATTTTAAGGCCAATCATTCTTCCTTCATTCATTCAAAAAAACAAAAGTCAAGATACAAAAATAGCCATTTTCTTTGTTGATCCAAACCACCAAGTTTTAAATGTCAATGCCTTGATTTTATCTTAAAAAGAAGTTAATAGCATTAGTCTAAAACCTGTATTCAGAGATAAATCATAATAGAAAGGAACAACTGGCAACAAAAAGACTGGAGTTTTAAAATTCTCATGACTACCTGTGATTTGGGACAAATTAATTAATGTTTCTGAGCCTCAGTTCATTTACCTATAAAATGAAGCTAGTAACAGCTCTTTCTCACTTGTAAGGGTTGGCAATATCATACACAAAGCATCTAGCTCTCAGTGAACAGTAGCTACAGCATTACTGCTACCAATCTGTGTTAGAATTTGCTTTTGGTGAGATCCTATAGACAGGGCATTTGCTATGATGAGCCAGAGATACAAATTGTGGCACACAAGCCCAGGACAAGGTTTCTGTTTGTCTGCTTCATTGCTACCTCCCCCATGCATGGCACAGTGCCTGAAACTTTAAAGGTATCAAATAAAGATATTTTTATTGAAAAGTAAGAAAAAAAGATAAATCACTACCCCTGTGGAGTATTATAATAAATCTCAAATTTGGGATTGGCCTATCACTTCCTGTTGTAATAGTATACTCTGGTACTTCTGGTACTGAAGATATCTAATCAGCAAAAGTTTTAATTTCTTAAGGAATTCATTTACCTGAAACGGTAAGATCTGTTGTATTTTTTCAATTTGTAAGTAAATACATGTCAAGACATTCTGTGTGTGTCCAAAAGGCCAAGAAATCACAAAGCACAAATATTCACAGCCATAAACACAGTGGCTGTATTCCTCATAATGGGAAACTATGTAAAAACAAACCAAACCAAACCATAATAAATGGTAAGTATAATATTAACACCAAAATGAAACTATAATAAATGTTAATATGTAAAATGTTTAAGAAACTGCTAACACTACAGTTAAAACCTTTATGAGGCTAGCTCTCACAGGCATGTTCCAAACTCAATAAAAGAGGTGAATGCCACAATGGCTGTCAGAAACATGCAAGTCAAAACACAATCTAGAGGGAACAAAGCATTCGTGGAGCCCAAGGTCTCGGCAGCCCTAAATAATATCCCACCTGTCATTATGTCAAACAATTTGGCCCACTTCCATAACAAGACAAAAGTCACTTTTGTTGCATGTCAAATGTGGAGTGAGAACGAGCCAGAAAAAGCTGTTTGAAGGTTAGAAGTACTATGAGCAGTTTAAAAGAACAGCAATAAATAAAACTTGTTAATGCCCCTAACACTGCTAGTCAAAAATAGTCATGAATTAACAGATGTTACTAGTATAACTACATGCCCAAGTGTCGGGCAAATTGAGTTATCTAAATAGGTGATCTACAAATAAAGATAGGAAGAATGAATAATTAATAACAGACCATGTGGAAAAGAGATCTCACACATTTAAAACACCAACAAAAGGCACCCAATAAAACGGCTTTCAGAATACAAAGAGTAGATCTCATATTTTCATCACCTGAAAAGTAGACCCTGCATAAGTTATGTTTTCATTGATCCAAGTGATACTAAAAGTTTAGAGAAGTACTTCAGAATTTTTAAAAATTAAACTTTGTTAATAATCACAAATTATACATGTAATTACTATATTTTTCAGTTTATCAAATTTAGTAAAATTATTTTGGAAATCAGAATAAGAAATAAGGCCAATAGAAGGTTTACAAAAAACCGAAGTGTGGGAGGAGGAAGAGCAGAGGGAGAGAAAAAGTATATTCTGACCAATCATGCTTACATACTTGATGCAAAATCCTTCTTGACTGAATACTTTCCCATTGTTTTTGTCCCTGGGGCTTGCTGACAGAGACATTGTGTCCATGTGAAGGGAAAACCTGTTTTTTCCCCCACCTAGGATCCCAAAGGACCTCCTCCCCGATTCCCTACAATTTCTTCTATATTACCCATGCCCCTTCATCCCACTCTGGCCAAGTCACCCAGGCTCTTGCAGCCCTGTTGCTGACAGTTACACTTCCCGACACAAGGCCTGATGTTGAGGTGAGGGCAGCCTGGTCAGTTAATGAAGCTGGCATGGGGAGAAGAAAGGAAGCCCTTTTCAGAAAACCTAGGCTGATTTCGTATGAGCTGATTCTTTGGGGATGCCACAATAGACCACTTACAGAGTGCTTTTGGGGAGGGAGATGTCATTCTAAGCATTTCACTTATATTCCTATAAAGTTCACAATAACCCAATAGTACTGTTATGGATAAGGAAGCTGGGAACAAAAAAGTTAAGCAGCTTGCTCAAGGTCACAAAAATCAGCATGTGGCACAGAAAGGGCTCAAAAAGACAGCAGTAACCTCTGCAGACTTAAATGTTACTGTCTGACAGCTTTGAAGAGAGCAGTGGTTCTCCCAGCATGCAGCTGGAGATCTGAGGACAGGCAGACTGCCTCCTCAAGTGGATCCCTGACCCCTGACCCCTGAGCAGCCTAACTGGGAGGCACCCCCCAGCAGGGGCAGACTGACACCTCACACAGCCTGGTACTCCAACAGACCTGCAGCTGAGGGTCCTGTCTGTTAGAGGGAAAACTAACAAACTGAAAGGACATCCACACCAAAAACCCATCTGTACATCACCATCATCAAAGACCAAAAGTAGATAAAACCACAAAGACGGGGAAAAAACACAGCAGAAAAACTGGAAACTCTAAAAAGCAGAGCGCCTCTCCTCCTCCAAAGGAACACAGTTCCTCACCAGCAATGGAACAAAGCTGGATGGAGAATGACTTTGACGAGCTGAGAGAAGGCTTCAGACGATCAAATTACTCCGAGTTACAAGAGGACATTCAAACCAAAGGCAAAGAAGTTGAAAACTTTGAAAAAAATTTAGAAGAATGTATAACTAGAATAAACCAATACAGAGAAGTGCTTAAAGGAGCTGATGGAGCTGAAAACCAAGGCTCGAGAACTACGTGAAGAATGCAGAAGCCTCAGGAGCTGATGCGATCAACTGGAAGAAAGGGTATCAGCAATGGAAGATGAAATGAATGAAATGAAGCGAGAAGGGAAGTTTAGAGAAAAAAGAATAAAAAGAAACGAGCAAAGCCTCCAAGAAATATGGGACTATGTGAAAAGACCAAATCTACGTCTGATTGGTGTACCTGAAAGTCACGGGGAGAATGGAACCAAGTTGGAAAACACTCTGCAGGATATTATCCAGAAGAACTTCCCCAATCTAGCAAGGCAGGCCAACATTCAGGTTCAGGAAATACAGAGAATGCCACAAAGATACTGCTCAAGAAGAGCAACTCCAAGACACATAATTGTCAGATTCACCAAAGTTGAAATGAAGGAAAAAATGTTAAGGACAGTCAGAGAGAAAGGTCAGGTTACCCTCAAAGGGAAGCCCATCAGACTAAGCGGATCTCTCGGCAGAAACTCTACCAGCCAGAAGAGAGTGGGGGCCAATATTCAACATTCTTAAAGAAAAGAATTTTCAACCCAGAATTTCATATCCAGCCAAACTAAGCTTCATAAGTGAAGGAGAAATAAAATACTTTACAGACAAGCAAATGCTGAGATTTTGTCACCACCAGGCCTGCCCTAAAAGAGCTCCTGAAGAAAGCGCTAAACATGGAAAGGAACAACCGGTACCAGCCACTGCAAAATCATGCCAAAATGTAAAGACCATTGAGACTAGGAAGAAACTGCATCAACTAATGAGCAAAATAACCAGCTAACATCATAATGACAGGATCAAATTCACACATAACAATATTAACTTTAAATGTAAATGGACTAAATGCTCCAATTAAAAGACACAGACTGGCAAATTGGATAAAGAGTCAAGACCCATCAGTGTGCTGTATTCAGGAAACCCATCTCATGTGCAGAGACACACATAGGCTCAAAATAAAAGGATGAAGATCTACCAAGCAAATGGAAAACAAAAAAAGGCAGGGGTTGCAATCCTAGTCTCTGATAAAACAGACTTTAAACCAACAAAGATCAAAAGAGACAAAGAATGCCATTACTTAATGGTAAAGGGATCAATTCAACAAGAAGAGCTAACTATCCTAAATATATATGCGCCCAATACAGGAGCACCCAGATTCATAAAGCAAGTCCTGAGTGAACTACAAAGAGACTTAGACTCCCACACATTAATAATGGGAGACTTTAACACCCCACTGTCAACATTAGACAGATCAACGAGACAGAAAGTCAACAAGGATACCCAGGAATTGAACTCAGCTCTGCACCAAGCGGACCTAATACACATCTACAGAACCCTCCACCCCAAATCAACAGAATATACATTTTTTTCAGCACCACACCACACCTATTCCAAAATTGACCACATAGTTGGAAGTAAAGCTCTCCTCAGCAAATGTAAAAGAACAGAAATTATAACAAACTATCTCTCAGACCACAGTGCAATCAAATTAGAACTCAGGATTAAGAATCTCACTCAAAACCGCTCAACTACATGGAAACTGAACAACCTGCTCCTGAATGACTACTGGGTACATAACGAAATGAAGGCAGAAATAAAGATGTTCTTTGAAACCAATGAGAACAAAGACACAACATACCAGAATCTCTGGGACGCATGCAAAGCAGTATGTAGAGGGAAATTTATAGCACTAAATGCCCACAAGAGAAAGCAGGAAAGATCCAAAATTGACACCCTAACATCACAATTAAAAGAACTAGAAAAGCAAGAGCAAACACATTCAAAAGCTAGCAGAAGGCAAGAAATAACTAAAATCAGAGCAGAACTGAAGGAAATAGAGACACAAAAAACCCTTCAAAAAATTAATGAATCCAGGAGCTGCTTTTTTGAAAGGATCAACAAAATTGATAAACCGCTAGCAAGACTAATAAAGAAAAAAAGAGAGAAGAATCAAATAGACACAATAAAAAATGATAAAGGGGATATCACCACCGATCCCACAGAAATACAAACTACCATCAGAGAATACTATAAACACCTCTACGCAAATAAACTAGAAAATCTAGAAGAAACAGATAAATTCCTCGACACATACACTCTCCCAAGACTAAACCAGGAAGAAGTTGAATCTCTGAATAGACCAATAACAGGATCCGAAATTGTGGCAATAATCAATAGCTTACCAACCAAAAAGTGTCCAGGACCAGATGGATTCACAGCCGAATTCTACCAGAGGTACGAGGAGGAACTGCTACCATTCCTTCTGAAACTATTTCAATCAATAGAAAAAGAGGGAATCCTCCCTAACTCATTTTATGAGGCCAGCATCATCCTGATACCAAAGCCGGGCAGAGACACAACAAAAAAAGAGAATTTTAGACCAATATCCTTGATGAACATTGATGCAAAAATCCTCAATAAAATACTGGCAAAACGAATCCAGCAGCACATCAAAAAGCTTATCCACCATGATCAAGTGGGCTTCATCCCTGGGATGCAAGGCTGGTTCAATATACACAAATCAATAAATGTAATCCAGCATATAAACAGAACCAAAGACAAAAACCACATGATTATCTCAATAGATGCAGAAAAGGCCTTTGACAAAACTCAACAACGCTTCATGCTAAAAACTCCCAATAAATTAGGTATTGATGGGACGTATTTCAAAATAATAAGAGCTATCTATGACAAACCCACAGCCAATATCATACTGAATGGGCAAAAACTGGAAGCATTCCCTTTGAAAACTGGCACAAGACAGGGATGCCCTCTCTCACCACTCCTATTCAACATAGTGTTGGAAGTTCTGACCAGGGCAATTAGGCAGGAGAAGGAAATAAAGGGTATTCAATTAGGAAAAGAGGAAGTCAAATTGGCCCTGTTTGCAGATGACATGATTGTATACCTAGAAAACCCCATTGTCTCAGCCCAAAATCTCCTTAAGCTGATAAGCAACTTCAGCAAAGTCTCAGGATACAAAATCAATGTGCAAAAATCACAAGCATTCTTATACACCAACAACAGACAAACAGAGAGCCAAATCATGGGTGAACTCCCATTCACAATTGCTTCAAAGAGAATAAAATACCTAGGAATCCAACTTACAAGGGATGTGAAGGACCTCTTCAAGGAAAACTACAAGCCACTGCTCAAGGAAATAAAAGAGGATACAAACAAATGGAAGAACATTCCATGCTCATGGGTAGGAAGAATCAATATCGTGAAAATGGCCATACTGCCCAAGGTAATTTACAGATTCAATGCCATCCCCATCAAGCTACCAATGACTCTCTTCACAGAAATGGAAAAAACTGCTTTAAAGTTCATATGGAACCAAAAAACAGCCTGCATCGCCAAGTCAAGCCTAAGTCAAAAGAACAAAGCTGGAGGCATCACACTACCTGACTTCAAACTATACTATAAGGCTACAGTAACCAAAACAGCATGGTACTGGTACCAAAACAGAGATATAGATCAATGGAACAGAACAGAGCCCTCAGGAATAACGTCGCGTATCTAAAACTATCTGATCTTTGACAAACCTGAGAAAAACAAGCAATGGGGAAAGGATTCCCTATTTAATAAATGGTGCTGGGAAAACTGGCTAGCCCTATGTAGAAAGCTGAAACTGGATCCCTTCCTTACACCTTATACAAAAATCAATTCAAGATGGATTAAAGACTTAAACGTTAGATCTAAAACGATAAAAACCCTAGAAGAAAACCTAGGCTTTACCATTCAGGACATAGGCATGGGCAAGGACTTCATGTCTAAAACACCAAAAGCAATGGCAACAAAAGCCAAAATTGACAAATGGGATCTCATTAAACTAAAGAGCTTCTGCACAGCAAAAGAAACTACCATCAGAGTGAACAGGCAACCTACAGAATGGGAGAAAATTTTCGCAACCTACTCATCTGACAAAGGGCTAATATCCAGAATCTACAATGAACTCAAACAAATTTACAAGAAAAAAACAAACAATCCCATCAAAAAGTGGGCGAAGGACATGAACAGACACTTCTCAAAAGAAGACATTTATGCAGCCAAAAAACACATGAAGAAATGCTCACCATCACTGGCCATCAGAGAAATGCAAATCAAAACCACAATGAGATACCATCTCACACCAGTTAGAATGGCAATCATTAAAAAGTCAAGAAACAACAGGTGCTGGAGAGGATGTGGAGAAATAGGAACACTTTTACACTGCTGGTGGGACTGTAAACTAGTTCAACCATTGTGGAAGTCAGTGTGGCGATCCCTCAGGTATCTAGAATTAGAAATACCATTTGACCCAGCCATCCCATTACTGGGTATATACCCAAAGAATTATAAATCATGCTGCTATAAAGACACATGCACACGTATGTTTATTGCAGCATTATTCACAATAGCAAAGACTTGGAACCAACCCAAATGTCCAACAATGATAGACTGGATTAAGAAAATGTGGCACATATACACCATGGAATACTATGCAGCCATAATAAATGATGAGTTCATGTCCTTTGTAGGGACATGGATGAAATTGGAAATCATCATTCTCAGTAAACTATCGCAAGAACAAAAAACAAAACACCACATATTCTCACTCATAGGTGGCAATTGAACAATGAGAACACATGGACACAAGAAGGGGAACATCACACTCTGGGGCCTGTTGTGGGGTGGGGGGAGGGGGGAGGGATAGCATTGGGAGATATACCTAATGCTAGATGACGAGTTAGTGGGTGCAGTGCACCAGCATGGCACATGTATACATATGTAACTAACCTGCACATTGTGCACATGTACCGTAAAACCTAAAGTATAATAATAATAAAAAAAAGAAAAACCATTATCAAAATATTCTGAAAAGCAAATTTATGATATAGTAATACATATCCTTTAAGATCTAGCAATCTGATGGATGAGGTCACAAGAGCTGGGGCTGGAAATGTCATAAAATATATGAACTGAAAACACTTCTTTATATATGTTATATATGTTTAAAGGCATTATCAATACTAAGACCACCATATAGCAAAAGTCAGATGTCTCAAAAGATGGCTCTAAATACTCCTGATCCAGAAGCTTTCTTCAGTCCCAGTGCACTTGACCTCACTGAAACTCCAGGGTCCCAGGACGTCCTCACCCATGGCTCCTAAGAACCCACGCTTACCTGCAACTCCTACTTTTCCATTTCTGTTCCTTCTGCAGTTCTTCCAATTCCTGAACACAGATATGTCCAAAGGATTCCCATCAGAGTGTATATCATAAAACCAGTATCCTGTGGAACACTGCTTAGTAAATTCCTGACTGGCTCTCCTGGTCTTTATCTGCCACTACCACACACCACATTTACTCTTAGTGATATTTCCTCACTCTTGTCTACCCACAGAAGACATGCCCTTGCTCCAGAAATGACACCCAGAAACCCTAAACAACAGAAGAGATTCCCACCAAGCAGAGGGAAAGTGCTCTTTTTCCAATGGCTTGCTCTGTCTCTTGTCCACATACACATCTGTTCTGAAGAACATGAGTTGCCACCAAGCATTCCCTACTGAACCCACATCCCAGATGTTAACTGGATCAAAACCAGAATAATAAACGTCAAATCCTAAATTCCCTGTTAAATTACCTACGAAACCCAAATCAGAAATTTTTAAGATAAAGTGCACAGGGCATTTCAGCTGTCTTTATTTTTCTTTCTACATACCTTTTCTACTTCTTATCCTGATGAATTGGTCTCAACTAAGAAATCACAAATGTTCCTTTTATCCCATTAGCATAAGGGGTGACAAGAGTTTGTCCTGTGTGAGACACTCCTTTATTCCTTTCCATGAGCCCATGTGACGTACTAGATAATAAATTTCTTGAGAACAAAGACAATGCTGTACACATTTGTATATCCCACATGGCTACCTCTTAATTAACAGGAGCTCAATAAATGCTACAGGTGTACAAGAACAACAAAGTAAAGACACTAAAAATGTACCCAAAGGCAGCATCTCTAGCAAAGAAAAAGCATTGCATCTTCCTCAACATTTAACAACTGAAAAAGCTATGAAAAACAATGACATACGGGATACTTCACATTTAAAAAAAAAAAAAAAGAACAAAAATTCTAAACCCTCAAACCCCAAACCTCCATTCACGGACCTGTAGTGCCATAGTTGAAGTGTCTAAGATAGCAAAAAGGCAAATGATTGCGAAGACTGAATACCAATTCCAAGACGGTCCAAGCTCGAGCTGCTTATGCCAATGTTTCTTACTTTGAATGTGATCTTGGGAAGTTCACAGCACATACCTATACCTCACTTTCTTTATGTCTAAAATGGAAACACTTTGATTAAAGCAACGAAGGGGGGAAAAAAGAGTAAAAGTGATGAAAAAGCCTTCTTTGCATTCGTAGAACAATTCTTTATTAGCGAAGAAACCCACATGTGAGTAAGAGGGTTCTTGCCAGGCAGGGGCGTGTGTGCATGTGTGTGTGTATTGCATGTCTGTGTGTTGCTTGTCTGTGTTTGTCTGTGTAGGTGTTTGGCCATGGATACAATTTACATGCTTAACTTTTCCTTTACACAGTAGGAAATGTATGCCTTAGAACAAAGCCACTATTAATTTACATTTAAAAACTTTTGTTTCTACAATTGAGATCCAGTAAAATGTTCAAAATTCTAAAAGAAAGGGGAGCAAATCTCCTTTACCTTCAATACCATAATTCATGAAGGTTCCAACAGTTACTCCTCGTGAATATTTGAAGAAAAGTAAGATATCTACAAAGGCTTAGGATGTCTGAAGGCAGCCTGCCTATCCTTTTCATTTTAAATAAAACTGATCAAACATGGATTATTGCTCCAAAATATGCTGGAATTTCCAATTCTCTCAAAGCTATTAGGAGCATGAACTCTAAGTTTTAGTTTCATAGGAGTAGGGAGTGGATTCTGGGAGTTACAGTTTTGTTTTTGGGTGACCAATTTCTGCAAACTGAAGTTAAGGAAAGATACTGGCTGTCATCCAAAACCAATCTTCTTACAATTTCATCATTTTAGGACAAGCAGTAGATCCTTCACACTGCATGGAACAAAATCAATAGAAGCCAAGAACAACAGGCATTGCTCTTTCAAGACCATTTCATCAGCATTTAGCAGAAGCAAACACAATGAGGTATCTATAAGCTGCAAGAATAACAACATTTTCACTTTGTTATTCACTGTGCTCTAACCTGAACCCCATCTTCTTGTTCCAAATGCCATTTCAATACTTGAAATTGCTATAACTGGTAAAATCACAAACACATTTGTGAATTTCTATTTGCTTAAATAAGCTGAGTGTGTGACCTTTCTCTGTCTCAGGTTCAGATAATCTTCATTAATAGACTATTTTCTTTTTGCAAATATTGTTTTAACCCATCTGAGGCTCAATGTCCCTTCCCTAGAAATACCAACTAATGGTTCTGTTTCCACCATGGGATGTTTAGGTTAGACAGTCAGTGCACAGGGAAAATTAACACAGCCTCCACCTGATGCAGACCATGTTAATTTCTGCCCGCACCGCTTTGTGCCGAATGCACCAGTGCGCCTTGGCAACAGCTCTGGGCCCCGGAGAGGCACCTTTTCTAAATGTATCTGGTTACTCTTCATCATCGTGGCATCCTGGAAAGGCAGAGCATCAGTCTGCAGAATAAAAAGAAGCCACTTACCAGATGCATAAAAAAGGAATATCTTTAGTATTCAGAAAATGACACTCTGTTTATAGGCTGCTTTAAAAACAAACAAAAACTTTTGTTGATACATATTTTACATATTTTCAGAGCACATGTGATATTTTGCTACATGTATAGAATGTGTAATGATCAAGTTAGGGTGTTTGGGGTATTCATCACCTTGGGTATTTATCATTTCTATGTGTTGGGAACATTTCAAGTCCTCTCTTCTAGCTGCTCTGAAATATACAACACATTGTCACTAACTACAGTCACCCTACCCTGCTACCAAATATTAGAACTTACATCTTCTAACTGTATGTTTGTACTCATTGACCAAACTCTCTTTATCTGTTCCCCTCCAACCCCTGCCACCCACACATCCTTCCCACTCTCTGGCATCTATCGTTCTACTCTTTACTGCCACAAGGGTAAGTTTTTTAGCTCACACATATCAGTGACAACATGTGGAATTTATCTTTCTGTGCCTGGGTTATATAATGACCTCCAGTTCCATACATGTGGCTGCAAATAATATGATTTCATTCTTTCATTATGTTTTACGGCCAAATAATATTCCATCATGTATATATACCACATTTTCTTTATACATTTGTCCACCGATGAACAGTTAGGTTGATTCCATAATTCACTTTCCTATTGTGAATACTGCTGCAATAAACATGCAAGTGCAGGTATGCCTTTGAAATACTAATTTCCTTTCCTTTGGATAGATGCCCAATAGTAGAATTGATGGACAGTATGACAGTTCTATTTTTAGTTTTCTAAGAAATATCCATACTGTTTTCCATAAGTGGTTGTATTAATTCACCTTCCCACAACCAGTGTACAAGAGTTCCCTTTCCTCTATATCCTTGCCAACATCTGCTATTTTTTGCCTTTTTAATGATAACCATTCTAACTGGGGTAAGATGATATATCATCCTTGTATTGATTTACATTTCCCTGACACTTAGTGATCTTGAGCATCTTTTCAAATACCTGTTGGCCACTTGCATGGCTTTGGAGAATTGTCCATTTATGGGCTTTGCCTACTTTTCAATGGGATTTTTTTTATTGTTGAGCTATTTGAGTACCCTGCACATTTTGGATATCAGTCCATTGTTGGATGAATAGTTTGCAAATATTTTTTTCCGCTCAATAGGTTGTTTCTTCATTCTTTTGACTGTTTCCTTTGCTGTGCAGATGCTTTTTAGTTTAATATAGTGCCATTTGTCTATTTTTGTTTTAGTTCTCTGTGCTTTGAGATCTTAACCATAAAATCTTTGTCTAGAACAACATCCTTAAGTGTTTTCCCTATGTTTTATTCTAGTAGTTTTACAGCTTTGGGTCTTACGTTTAAGTCTTTTAAAAAATTAATTATTTATTTTTAACAAAGGTAGGGTCTCACTATGTTGCCAAGGTGGGTCTTGAACTCCTGGCCTCAAGAAATTCTCCTGATTCAGCCTCTCAAAGTGCTGGGATTACAAGCATGAGCCACCATGCCTGACCACATTTAAGTCTTCCTATACTGGGAGAAAGTCAGGTCCAGTTTCATTCTTCTGCATGTGGATATCCAATTTTCCCCAGAACCATTTATTGAAGAGGGTGTACTTTCCCTAACGTATGCTCTTGGTGTCTTTGTCAAAAATCAGTTGTTATAAGTATGTAGATTTATTTCTGGGTTCTCTATTCTGTTCCACTGTTCTATATAACTTTTTATAGCTATATGATGATATTTTGATTACTATAGTCTTGAAATATATTTTGAGGTCAGAGAGTGTGATGCTTCCAGCTTTATTCCTTTTGCTCAGGATTTCTTTGGCTGTTCTCTTTGGTTCCATAACAACATTAGAATTATTTTTTCTATTTCTGTGAGAAATGACATTGCTATTTTGATAGGGACTGCACTGATATAGTAGATGCCTTTGAGCAGTATTGTCATGTTAATGCTATAAATTTTTTTTTTTTACAGGAAAGTGGATTTTTTAAATTATACTTTAAGTTTTAGGGTACATGTGCACAATGTGCAGGTTTGTTACATATGTATACATGTGCCATGTTGGTGTGCTGCACCCGTTAACTCGTCATTTAACATTAGGCATACCTCCTAATGCTATCCCTCCCCACAACAGGCCCTGGTGTGTGATGTTCCTCTTCCTGTGTCCAAGTGTTCTCATTGTTCAATTCCCACCTATGAGTGAGAACACGCGATGTTTGGTTTTTGTCCTTGCGAAAGTTTGCTGAGAATGATGGTTTCCATCTTCATCCATGTTCCTACAAAGGACATGAACTCATCATTTTTTATGGCTACATAGTTTTCCATGGTGTATATGTGCCACATTTTCTTAATCCAGTCTATCATTGTTGGACATTTGGGTTGGTTCCAAGTCTTTGCTATTGTGAATAGTGCTGCAATAAACATACGTGTGCATGTGTCTTTATAGCAGCATGATTTATAATTCTTTGGGTATATACCCAGTAATGGGATGGCTGGGTCAAATGGTATTTCTAATTCTAGATCCCTGAGGGATCGCCACACTGACTTCCACAATGGTTGAACTAGTTCACAGTCCCACCAACAGTGTAAAAGTGTTCCTATTTCTCCACATCCTCTCCAGCACCTGTTGTTTCCTGACTTTTTAATGATTGCCATTCTAACTGGTGTGAGATGGTATCTCACTGTGGTTTTGATTTGCATTTCTCTGATGGCCAGTGATGATGAGCATTTTTTCATGTGTCTTTTGGCTGCATAAATGTCTTCTTTTGAGAAGTGTCTGTTCATATCCTTCGCCCACTTGTTGATGGGGTTGTTTTTTCTTCTAAATTTGTCTGAGTTCTTTGTAGATTCTGGATATTAGCCCTTTGTCAGATGCGTAGATTGCAAAAATTTTCTCCCATTCTGTAGGTTGCCTGTTCACTCTGATGGTAGTTTCTTTTGCTGTGCAGAAGCTCTTTAGATTAATTAGATCCCATACAAATGGAAGAACTTTCCATGCTCATGGGTAGGAAGAATCAATATCGTGAAAATGGCCATACTGCCCAAGGTAATTTATAGATTCAATGCCATCCCCATCAAGCTACCAATGACTTTCTTCACAGAATTGGAAAAAAACTACTTTAAAGTTCATATGGAACCAAAAGAGAGCCCACATTGCCAAGCCAATCCTAAGCCAAAAGAATAATGCTGGAGGCATCACGCTACCTGACTTCAAACTGTACTACAAGGCTACAGTAACCAAAACAGCATGGTACTGGTACCAAAACAGAGATATAGACCAATGGAACAGAACAGAGCCCTCAGAAATAATGCCACATATCTACAACTATCTGATCTTTGACAAACCTGACAAAAATAAGCAATGGGGAAAGGATTCCCTATTTAATAAATGGTGCTGGGAAAACTGGCTAGCTGTATGTAGAAAGCTGAAACTGGATCCCTTCCTTACACCTTATACAAAAATTAATTCAAGATGGATTAAAGACTTAAATGTTAGACCTAAAGCCATAAAAACCCTAGAAGAAAACCTAGGCAATACCATTCAGGACATACGCATGGGCAAGGACTTCATGTCTAAAACACCAAAAGCAATGGCAACAAAAGCCAAAATTGACAAATGCTATAAATTCTTTTGATTCATGAGCATGGGATATCTTTTCATTTGTTTGTCTTCTATTTCGTTCATCCATCTTTTGTAGTTTGCTTTGTCGAAATCTTTACCTCCTTGGTTAAATTTATTCCTATGTTTTTTTAATAGCTAGTGTAAATAGAATTGCCTTCTTGATATCTTTGGTGGCT
The DNA here is from genome assembly GCF_000001405.40 of Homo sapiens. Classification (NCBI taxonomy): domain Eukaryota; kingdom Metazoa; phylum Chordata; class Mammalia; order Primates; family Hominidae; genus Homo; species Homo sapiens. The sequence continues at coordinate 2,077,091 of NC_000006.12, forward strand.
ATTTCATTATACTTGTATAGGAACACTACTGATTTTTACATGTTCATTTTGTATTCTGCAACTTGGCTGAATTTGTTTATCAGTTCTAAGAGTTTTTTGTGGTAGTCTTGTTTTTTTCTAATAAGATCACGTCATCTCAAAGGTAAACAGTCTGACTTCCTTTCTACCAATTTAAATGCATTTTATTTTTTAATCTTGTGTGATTTGCTAGGATTTCCAGTGCCATGTAGAATAGGAGTGGTGAAAATGGGCATCCTGGTATTGTTTCTGTTCCTAAAGCAAAGACTTTCAACTTTTCCCCATTCAGTATGATGTTAGCTGTGAGTTTGCCATATATGTCCTTTATGATTTTGAGGTATGTTTCTTCTATGCCATATTTGCTGAGAGTTTTTTATCATGAAGGGATGCTGAATTTTATCAAATGCTTTTTCTACAACTATTGAGATGATCGTATGTTTTTTATCATTCATTCTGCTTACGTGATGTATCACATTTGTTAATTTGCATATGTTGAACCATCCTTGTAGCCCTGGTATAAAGCCCACTTGATTGTGGTGTATTATCTTTTCAATGTGCAGTAGGAATCAGTTTGCCAGTATTCTGTCGAGGATTTTTGAATCCATATTCATCAAGAATAATGACCTGTACTTTTCTTTTTTTGTGTGTCCTTGTCTGGTTTTGGTATAAGGGTGATGCTGCCCTCATAGAATGAGTTAGGGAGAATTCCTTTCTCTTCAATTTTTTGGAATAGTTTCAAGAGGATTAGTATCAGTTCTTCTTTATACATATGGTAGAATTCGGCCAAGAATCAATCTGCTCCTAGCCCTTTCTTTGCTGAGAGACTTTTTATTACTGATATGACTTTGTTACTGGTTATTGGTTTGTTCAGGCTTTCTGTTTTTTCCAGATTCAAGCTTGGTAGATGGTAGGTGTCCAGGAAATTATCCATTTCCTCTAGATTTTCCAGTCTGTTAGTGTGTAGCTGTTCATGATAGTCTCTGATGAACCTTTGTATTTCTGTGGTATCAGATGTAATTTCTTTTTTATTTCTGATTTATGTGGGTCATCTCTCCTTTTCTTGGTTAGTCAAGCTAGTGATTTATCAATTTTGTGTCTTTTCAAAGAATCAACTTTTCGTTTAACTGATCCTTTGAACTGTTACTTTAGTCTCTATTTTGCTTATCTCTGCCCTGATCTACATTATTTCTTTCTTTCTCCTAATCTTGGATTTGTTTTGTTCTTGCTTTTCTAGTTTCTTGAGGTGCATCATTAGATTGTTTATTTAAACTCTACTGTTTTGATGTGGGCATTTATTGCTATAAACTTCATGTTAGTACTGCTTTTGCTGTATCCCACAGGTTTTGGTATGTTGTGTTTCCACTTTCATTCGTTTCAAGAAATTTTTTAACTTCCTTCTTAATTTCTTAATTGATCTAATCGTCATTCAGGAACATGTTGTTTAATTCCATACATCCGTATAGTTTCCAAAGATCCTCTTGATATTTCTAGTTTTATTCCATTGTGTTCTGAGGACATAGTTGATATGATCTTGCGTTTTAAAAAATTGTTGTTACCTATTTTGTGGCCTAACAGTCTATTCTGGAGAATATTCCATGTGCTGATGAGAAGACTTTATATTCTGTAGTTTTTGGATAAAATGTTCTGTAAATATCTGTTGAGTCCAGGTAGTCTAAAATCCAGTTTAAATAAAAGTTTATAAATGTTTGTTAACTTTCTGTCTAAATGATTTGTCTCATGCTGAGAATGGGGTTGGAGTTCCCCACTATTATTGTATTGTAGTCTCTCTCCTTAAATCTAGTAATATTTATCCTATGAATCTTGTTGCTCCAGTGTTGGACACATATATATTTAGAGCCATAATATTCTGTTGCTGAATTGATTCCTTTGTCATTGCATAATGACCTTGTCTTTTTTTTTTTTTTTTTTTTTTTTTTACTGTGTTTGACTTAAAGTCTGTTTTATCTGACATAAGTATAGCTACTCCTACTCACTTTTGGTTTCTGTTCGTGTGGAGTAATTTTTTCCATTCCTTTATTTTTAGTCTACATGTGCCATTATAGGTAAAGTGTGTTTCTTGCAGGTAATATATAGCTGGATCTTAATTTTTAATCCATTCTGCCAGGCTGTAGCTTCTAAGTGGAAAATTCAATCCTTCCACATTCAAGATTATTATTAACATGTGAGGTTTTGTTCCTATTATATTGTTATTGTTTTCTGGTTTTATATACTCTTCATTCCTTTCTTTTTCACTTATTTTTTCTAATTTTGGTTTGGTGGTTTTCCGTACAGGTACCATTTAATTACTTTCCCTTATTCCTTTGTGTGATTGCTTTATTAGCAGGTTTTACACATTCATAAGTTTTCATGATGGTAAATGTAGTCATTTTGCTCCCAGGATTAGGACTCCCTTAAGCAATTTCTGGGGAAGACTTTATTTCTCCTTCAGTTACAAAGAATATTTTTGCTAGATATAGTATCCCTTGGATAGCATTTTTTTCATTCAGTACTTTGAATGTATCATTCTTTCCTGGCTTGTAAGGTTTCTGCTGAGAAATTCACTATTAGCCTGATAAGGTTTTCTTTACAACTGACTAGGCACTTTTCTCTTGCCTTTTTCAGAATTCTGTCTTTGACTTTAGATAGTTTGACTATAATGTGCCAAGGAGAAGACTTTCTTGCATTGTATATGTTTGCGGATCTTGGAGCCTCCTGTTTCTGGATATCTAAATCATTTGATAGATTTGGGAAGTTTTCATCTATTATTTAATAACAAAAAAATAGATGAGTTTTCCAATCCTTTTGTTCTCTGTCTTCTGGGACCCAAATGATTCAAATATGTGGTGGCTTTATAGTATCCCATATGTCTCGAAGGCTTCAATTATTCTTTTTTATTCTTTTAACATTATTTCTGTCTGATTAGGTTATTTTGAAAGACCTGTCTTCTGTCTTTGAGTTGTCAGATTCCTTCTTCTGCTTAATCTAGACTATTGTTGAATCTAACATTTTTTATTTCATTCAATGAATTCTTCAGTTTCAGGATTTCTGTATGGTTCTTTTTTATGATAACTATCTCTTTGGCAAATTTTTCATTCATATCCTGCACTGTTTTTCTGATTTCTATGTATTATTTTTCATAATTCCCTGGTATCTCACTGAGCTTCTTCACAATCAAGAATGTGAATTATTTGTTCAGGATTTCGTGAATTTCTTTTTGATCGGAATCATTGCTGAAGAATTATTGTGTTCCCCTGGAGATGTCATATTTCCTTGCTTTTTGATGTTTCCTGCATCCTTATGTTGCTACTTGGGCATCTGGTGTCAGTCACTGCCTTCAATTTTTTGAATTTACTTTAACAGGGGAGGGCATTGTTTTGAACATGTATCTATGGTGTTGGTTGGGTAGGGCACTTTAGCTATGATTCTAGATGTATGCAGTAGTGTAGTCTCTGTAAGATTTCTTCAGCTGTACACAGCACCAGTTATCTGTGATTTCCTCAGTAGCTTATGGTGCAGTTATTAGTGGAGGCTGTGGTAACGTTTTGCTAGGGCCTGGGGTGGCAGGTAAGTCAGTCTTCAGGCCCCATGATAGCAGCAGTGGGTTGAGCATGCATTTCCTTGGGCCCCAAGGCAGTGTACACTGGCACTGGTGTTACAGGTCCAAGCAGGCCAATTCTTGGAAAGTATAAAAATGCGAAGATTAATTCTGGTGTCATCAGAGCTGAATTACAATACCATTCCTGTCACTTCCTGGGTATTTCATCTCAGGTAAGTTATTAGGTTGAACAACCTAATACTGCTGATATTCAACTACTGTATTTGGGTGCTACAAGATCGCAATTTCATATGGCCCAACTGAATAATTATAGTAGCCTCAATTTTCTGTAAAACTGAGAAAATATCCCCCAACTTAACAAGGCCATTGTATGGGCTCATACAATAGTCTCACAAAAACTCTTTAAATATTTTTATCAAAGGTTTGTTTTAAAATGTGTTAGTAAACGTAAAATGTCAGATTCTTAGTGAGAAACCCATGTTCTATATTTTAAACTTTTGAAAGATGAAAAAGATATGGTAAAATCAGCACTTCTGTGGTGGAAAAAAAAACAAAACAAAACAATCAGGACAGAAAAATATGCCCTAGGAACTCCGGATGGTTTTCTCTGGCTACACACAAAGAGTCTGCACACTGCTAATGGCTCAGTCCCAGAGGGCTGCTCTATGCCCTCTCTGTGCAGCTCAGTAGGATGGCTCGGCCTTCTTTCCCTGAACACCCAACAGCCTTATGAAGGACCACACAAAGTCTTTCATCAGGACTTCCCCTCCGGATTCCTCCAGACAACCTTCTGCTTGTCTGTCCACATCCCTCTGCTCTGGAATGTCCTTGTCCTAGAGCCCTTCCATCACCTCATCATTTGAACTTACATTACCCAGTTCTGCAGCTTGCTCCCCTGACCTAGGCTGACTTTGAGGGGGAAAAAAAAAGCCAATGTTTGCATTTTAGCAATAAGATTAACCACAACCCTGAAAGTCACAGGCCACAAGCCACACTCTATGCTACCACAGTGTACCGATTTGCTTTTGTAGGCCTCCTTACAGTATGGGTTTGATCTGGAGCCCTTCTCTCTGTTTTAGAGAATATTCACAATGAAAAATTCAGCGTAGGTGAATGACCCATCATTTCTGTTCTAATGAGGTCTTTGGAATTCCAGAATAGATATGTTTATTGCTGAGATCTCCCCTCTCCCTCTCTCAAGCAAAAAGATATCAACGAAGGTGGCCTCTCAATTACCACCCACTTCAAAACTGTCTGACTTCCAGGAGCGTGTAAGCAAGCAGAATGTGGTGTAACAAACCCAATGCCCAGCTCAATCTCACCACTGCCAAAAAGTTCAGGCGATTTAGCCACAATAGGAAATACCCTCATTGTTCTTACATGATGGAACACTATTTCTACGTTCATCCCAGCTATACAAACAATTATATGCATAGTAATAACATTCAAGATGAAGAAAGTAATGAGATAAAAGACACATGATACGTGTTCCCTACTTTACACACACGTGTGCGCACACACACACAAACACACACTCAAACAAAATCCATGGACTTTTCAAGAACCCATCAGCTGATGACATTTACCACAGGGCTCACTGGTCATTCCCTCGATGCACTTCAAGTATTTTCTTTTAGTAATCAGGAAAGTAAGGCAGCACAAAGAATGAGGTACTGCGACAGGGAGACAGTCAACAGAAGGAGACAAAAAGAGAAGAGTGTCACTGCTGCTGGCCAGGCCAGCGGCCCAGGGCCCCACATATCCCACAGCAGTCTATCTGGCAGGTCCCCTCATAAAATTGCAGGCATGGGCTCCTATCATGTCCCCTCCATGTTACAATGAGGATTACAGCTCAACATTGCTAAAAACTCAAAGTGCATTTCTTTGATCAAAAATAACAAAATTAAATCCTAAATCTCACTTATAAATCCTAACACTGAAAGAGCTGTCTGAGAGCATCTAAAACAGTGTTTTTCAAACTGAAAGTAATGGTTATGGGTCACAAAATCAATTTAGTTAATGACACTTTTAAAAAATAAAGAAATATTGCACACTGTAAGAACATATACTGGTTTGTAAAATTTCTGTTTTCAACATGTGTCTGTGCTATAATGTTTTATAAAACATATTTCTTACTGTGGGTTGCACTCATTTAAACAAAAGCCTTCAAAATATTTATCTAATTCAATATCCTCACTGGATGACAAAACCGAACCCCAAAGTGGGTAAAGGTGGTTAAAGTAAGTTACACACCTTGGTACTGACAAGGATTCAAACCTATTCATTCTTCATCACAAGATGTCTTTTTAAGAAAAACCACAATCCCATTTCTACAATTCTTAAAAGTCCCACTAAACATCATCATTTATAAAACACAGAAGCAGGTATCTGCAAATTTTTCAGAGAATTGAGTATAAACAACTTAAACAATTTCTCCAAGTCACTTGGCAAATGTAGGTTCTCAGGGTAAAATCAGACAGTGGGATTAGAAACACGGCACTGTGGCTTTTAATCAATACAAGATTAGATACCTTTAACACTTTAGCACGATGTCGAGCACTTAGTAAACGCTAGTATCTTCCTTAATCATACTTCCTGCACTTTCACATCCATACAGCTTGAGCCTGGATGGAGCCCAGACCATCCAACAACAGCAAATCTTCCATCTAATCCAGCTACCCAACCATAGTATTACCATTATTAAGTAATCTGCAACTCGTCAAGTATCTAAGGCAGCCCCAAGAAAACACAAAAACCATAAATACATCCTGACTTACTCTAATGGGTTGTAAAATTAAATGAAGTGGACAGAAAAACAAGATTCAAAACAACCACTTAAGAAGGAAAAATCAAATCATTCAAATGAAAATGCCACACTGAATACAGAATACAGACACCTCTTCTGATATTTTGGTTAATTCTAACTACTTTGAAAGATTGACCCAAACATCTTCTAGATAATCAAGAGTTGAAGGTTATGCCTATACCCTCAGAAAGCTAATTTTGCCTTCATTTTACAATCAAGTCTCTGATTTCTCACAAACCTTCATGCAATTTGAGTCTTAATATAACTACAGCTTATTGGGTAAGTCCATCATCAACTAATCTGCAAATTATGGTATATTTATCATTTGCTATTGATATCCTATATCCTGACAGATATACTCAAGTGGAGGTTTATTTCTAACAAAATATTCCAGTTAATTGGGGGGTATTACAATGGCCCACATTAACAGAAATTATTCAACTTGAATAAGAAGAAACAGCTAAAGCTAAAATATATAATATTTAAGTTATAATAAATCATAAATCAGTCAAATTATATGTCTCAAGGACAGTTCTGGGCAGAGAAAACCAAATTAACAAATACTTAATCAAATGCCCTCTATATGCAAAATACCGTGCTACACTTTATATTTTAGGTAAATGCAAGTAACTTACTTTCCTGGCTAAAGTCTTGGGTCAGATTATAAAAATTACAATTGATTACATAAAACTTAATTAACCTTTTCCTTCCTCCTCATAGATACTCTTCATATCAATTTATGTATTTCCAAGTACTATACCTATAATGTAGAGGCATCTGCGTTTGAGAGGTTTGAGGGAGAAAAGAGATTTTAAAAATCATATAAACTTTAAAAACAAATGAACAAGTGGCCACCCCATAAACATACCCTTTTTCATCAAGTGGTTGGACTCACATTTGACAAGCTGCTTATTTGTTCAAGTAGCAGATGATGATCAAACTTTCCAATCTCTAAAATAGCTCCCAGATTCTAGATTACTCAATTACCCTTCATTTCACAGCAAGCAGCTCTAATAAAATAATCTAAATAAAACTCTTTTTTTTTCTTTTTTTTGAGACGGAGTCTTGCTCTGTCACCCAGGCTGGAGTGCAGTGGCGCGATCTTGACTCACTGCAAGCTCCGCCTCCCGGGTTCACACCATTCTCCTGCCTCAGCCTCCCGTGTAGCTGGGACTACAGGCGCCCGCCACCACGCCCGGCTAATTTTTTGTATTTTTAAATAGAGATGGGGTTTCACCGTGTTAGCCAGGATGGTCTCGATCTCCTGACCTTGTGATCCGCCCGCCTCAGCTTCCCAAAGTGCTGGGATTACAGGTGTGAGCCACCATGCCCGGCCTAAATAAAACTCTTTAATTCAACTTCTCAAAAGTAAAAGAGTGGGTTTACATATAATTTGAGCAAACCAGAGAGGACTATCCCCTTCATCAGAAACTTTCTGACACTATTAAAGTGAAAGAACCAGTCTTGCAATTAGTTACATAAAACCACAACCAAATTCAGAAGTCAGTACCAAATTTAGCAACCCTATCATTTTTCAAGGTTGTACCAGTTTTTACTAGACAAAGCAAATGAAGCCTAGGAAAATACCTGAACATGTTCACATTTAGAAAAGTCTACTCTTCTACAGTCCTATTTAACCAATGTCATGAGATCCTTAAGTTTATGAAAGTATTTTCTCTTCCATGAAAGAAGCAAAAAAAAAAATTATTTTTCTTAGCTTAGAAATCTTTAAGGCAAACCCAGGTCCACTCTCGTGACCTTATCTTTTTTATTCCTTTCTTTCTCCCTAGGTATCTGTAACATGGTTATTTTCATTATTTTCTCACTTATTTTTTTCTTGTGAATCACCTGTGGCTTTTTAGTATAGCAAATATGTTAGGCTAAATAAAAAAATCGGGTTTCTTTTCTCACTAAGTAAATAACTCTGATTATAATATTTCATCTTGAATTAACATTATTCTTAATTGTCTGTGCACCTTACCTTACACATTTAGCAGTCATATGCACTTCCTTCCAGTTTCTCTGACTTTTTTGCACATCAGTCTCCTCGGAAGAGAAAAATCTAACTATTTTTTTTTAAACAGGGTCTCACTCTGTCATCCAGGCTGGAGTGCAGTGTCACTATCTCAGCTCACTGTAGCCTCAACATTTTGGGCTCAAGTGATCCTCTCACTTCAGCCTCCAAGTAACTGGGACTACAGGCGCTCACCACCACACCGGCTAATTTTTGTATTTTTTGTAGAAACAGGGTCTCACTATGTTTCCCAGGCTGGTCTCAAACTCCTGAGCTTAAGCAATCCACCTGCCTCGGCTTCCCAAAGTGCTGGATTACAGGCGTGAGTCACCACACCTGGCCAACCATGAAATGTAGACATTACTAAAGTCAGGCATACCTGAACTCTCTAGTCATTCATTAATCCAGGCTCTCCTGTCATTCATTAATTCTGTGGCCTTAAGATATAAAAATTCTCTGAGCTTATTTTCTGAATAAAATGAGGGATACAATACAGATTACATCAAATTATTAAATAAACTAAAGTGTGGACACAACTCTTCACAGAGAGTGTGGCACAGGTGAGGAAACAATGGTCATGCTGGGGTTGCTCTCACTCACTGGTTTTGATTGTTTGCTCCACATGAAAACACACTGTCTCAAAAACACACCTGATTTTCTTCCAGACATGACATGTAGAACACCCCCACTAGCCATGACTCTAAATCAATCTCTGTGGTACCATTCACCCAGCAATTGTGCCTCCTGAGGCAGTAACTATCTATGTGCACTGACCTAGAGGCTGGCAGTTTCAATGAAACCCTGCCTCCCCTTTCTTCTTTTCATCCCTCTACTAGAAGCAACACTTTTGTGCTAACACACAAGTCAAAGACATTGATCTTACACAATAGAAAATTGTGGCTCACACACCTAGAATTCCCATCATTCTAATACGATACAGAGAGCTACTCTGTTAAAATCCAGACCTTTCAAGGCACACTGGCCAGGCAGCATCTCCACTTAAATCAGAAGGGAACAGCCAACCATGAGTAACCAGCATGCTGCTGCTCCTCCCCAAAGCTGCCGTTCTGCAGCTGACTCGGGGACTTCGAAACAACTTCAGTAGTGACAAAGGCTGCTCCCAGCTTTTACATACTTTTCAATTCATATAATAGACATTTCACAGAAAGTTGCTGATAGATTTTCTTCTGCCTGTGCACATCAGTTAAATGTGTTTTATTTCCCTTCTGGGCTACGTGCTGGCAGAGAATAACACAATGAAGAGGTGATAGTATGCCTTTCCAGGCCCTTTATGGCCAAGATTATGAAAGAAGGGCTTTGACGAAGAATGTTCAGGCCGACTATAATAGTTTTCCTTTTAGTGTATTATTGTTGCCATGTGTTTGCTGCTGTCTGGAGCAATAAAAAAGCTCTGAAATATTTGTCTGTGTCCTCCATAGACCCAAGAGTTTCCATAAGAGAAATCACTTGGAAAATCACAATATTGCTCCAAATAAAATATTAACATAAAAAACTTGTTGAAATGTTGAGCTAAAATACTAAAGAATTATGACCACAGCTGTAATTTATGAGGATATGAGTGCCTTCACCTCCTAAGGGCCTTTCCACTCCCACCACAGGCACATGTTTGGTATTGTTCTCACACAACATAGATGCCACCAACCAGAACGAATTGCTTTGGGGATCCTCAGAAGTTCTGACAGGATAGATTAGATGGACAAGGAAAGCTGTCATGATTCATTTCTTGATTAGATGGACACTTAGTAAACCAATAGTCAGTTCTTACAATTTTATTTGAAGAAATGATGATTACTTCTTTTGTATATGAAAATACTTTTTCTTTCTTCCTGTCATCCTAAATGTAGATTTATTTACTTAAGTTGAAAAATTTGGCCTCAAAATGTAACAAATTAATTAGTGATAATAATCTATCAGAAAGGAAGTGAGCCCAACATCAGTAACATCAATAATCTTTGAGTATTCATGAATTCTCTCTGAACTCAATCTTAACAGAAATATTCTCATTAAGAAAATCTCTAACAGAAGAGACAATTTGCACTCAGGCCCACAATTTCATCTTCACTATTCAAATTTAAGGACAGATTTCTGTGTTTATTCTCAGTACCCAGAAAAAGTAGGCACTCAATGACTGCTGTGGTAAGTAAACTTCATGTTTTAGCACTTAGCCACACGCAATTTTAGTATTGCTTGAATGTTGTTCACTTGCTTATGAACCTGAAAAATAAGTCTTGGACGTTTAGTTATCCCAAGACCTAACACAGTGTGCCTATTTGCTCTCAAATATTATCAACATCAAAGAAGTTTTTAGTTTGCCAGAATGTTAGATTGAGTGAAGTCCCTATAATCAAGGTAGATTATCTGCATTGCCCAAGTTTTGTGTCCTCAGATTTTTATAGACATTATTGCGCATCTTCTGTTGACATTTTGTTTATGCCAAGTAGGATCTTTGTTTTTCCTAACCTAAAAGGGCTGAAAGAGAAGCTTTTGACTTAACAATTAATTCAGCATTTACTTATTTTATTTGTCTACAAAGTAATATGCTCATATGCTGGAGTGGAGGAAAGAAAGGTGGCTAGAAAGGTTAAAATGAGATGTAGAAAGTAAAAAAAAAAAATGCTGTGATATAGAGTACAGATTTTACAAACAAGAATGTTATGGAAGAAAACAGTCAGTGTTTTGCTGAGATTACAAAGCTTAATTAGTGATAGCGGAGATCAGAAAAAAAATGCAATCAAGAGCAGAGTGTGGGGGATATGGGAGGTATTCAGCTAATGCTTCCAGAAATGATCTAAGTGATTCGTTTGCAAAAAGAAAGGCTAGCTAGACATTAACTTGTCTGTAAAATGGTAATAATAGGAATCTGCTTTGCCTGTATCATAGGATTGGTATAAAGACAAAAAGAGATAATACGTGGAAAGACCTGCAAACTATAATGAACCACCAGTGAATGCAGGTTCCTCCTATCAACCTCATCTTGCCTGATAACTCACACATTCTTCCAGTCTCGAAATTCCTTAAGTCTTTGGGTTGTACAAAATAAATAGTTTCCTGATCTCTCTTTTTTATTGAGATAGAAATTTTCTATGCATACTTTACTTAAAATGAATGACATTGTTACTGGCTCTGTAAATTAGAGAACACTGGTTCTTTCTGATCACAATCTTGATCCTAGAGATGAAATACTCCACCTGGCAAGAGAGGAAAATCCAGGCCTCATGTCATGCCCTAAGCATGGTTTATGTTGGCACCACTCTTTCCCTATATCCCACCACCAAGAGAGCTGAAGCTCAGATAAGATGCATAACTCAATGGGTATTGGGGATACACTGAGAAACTGAGAGCACAAAGGACAATCCACAGTGTGACAACAAGCATGTCAGAGCTGGTCCTTGTCCCTTTATCCTTGATAGAGGCAACATGTGCCAAGGGAGGCAGGTGACTGAACAGTTTTATCTGTTCTCTCTTTAGTCATTAATTCATCCAGTGAACATTTATTGGGCAGCTATTATGTGTAAATCACTACACGAAAAGCCAATGGTAATACTAAAACAAAACAAAAAAAACTAATTTCTCAAACAGCGTATAGATTCATTTAAAATACTGTTATCCAGTATGGAAATGAATGTCATGAATAAATGGTGCTCAATCATTCCCCCAGCTTCCAATACTTTTTAGTTCTTTTATCTGGGGCCAGATTACAAGGAAATCAAAAGTCATGCTCAGGAATTTTCACAGAGAAACTACTGAAGGATTGTGAGAAGAGACTTAATTAGCCTGAACCTGATTTACTATTGAATTTAGGAAGAAAAAATAAAATTAAAGTCAACTAAAAGGTTCTAACAATAGACTATTTGTGAGATGACAAGGAAGGACTTAACCAGAGCAACAGAACCGAGAACAAAATAAAATAAATGCTTCAAGAGGCCACAAAGTAGAGGATGATTTTCAATGCAAATAAAACAGCTACAAAAGTTGAAGAAGGGAGAATAGATAATAAGAAAGAAAAGAGAAGCAGAAGGAAAAAGAGAAGCAGCACCCAAAGTAAAAGAGAAAAGGAGATGTAAGAGGAGAGGTCTCATCAGACTTTTTCCTTGAGTGCCTGGTTATTTTTTACTATGTGTTGTTCACTGCTTTTGAAAACTTATTCTTGGGTCTTATTTGTGGTAACTTCCTCCAGAGAGAAATTCTGTTGGCTTGTGTCAGGAACCTAGGACTTACACAAGTTCCCAAACTCCTAAAACTAAATCCTGAGTTTAAAATGTTCTGGACTACCCAAGCAGTACGTCTTTGGATTACAGTATGCTTGAGGGTCTACTTGTGGTTACACCTTCTTAGGAATCCCCCTCCACTCCTGCTCTGCGTAGCACAAAAGTACTTTTCCTGTGGAACACGCTGGGGCCATGTGGAGAGAGGGTTTAGGCATAATTCACCATAAATCTAAGAATGTGACCCTTTGATTTCTGTGCCTTTGATCACATAGGACTGTCAAAATGAAGTTCCAGTTTGCCAAATGGGCAAATGTCCTCAAGATCAAAACAGCCTAAATTTGTAGCTTACCTCCTCTACTTTCCCACAAGTATCAGCCTGATAATGGCTTACCATGTAGTTAGTTCTTCAATTATTTTAAGGAGATTTTAAAGAATTTTATATTCTGCATTTTAGTTGTTTTCAATAGAAGATTTGATCCAAATAATCTAGCCTACCAAATTCCTGGATGTGAAACAAAACAATAAATTCAAATCTCTACACAAAAAGTGTTGTGGTCAGCCATGGAAATACCTGGTCCCAAATCCGATGGTAAAGAGTAGGAAACATGTATAAGAAATTCCTATACTTCGGAAAGAAATCAGTATCTGAAAAACTGAGGTTAACAAGTTTATCTGACGATAGTTATAAACACATTTATACACCACTAAAAACTGTTATTAGGCCATCAACCAACAGTACATAGAAAATACTCACAATGATGTATATTCTAAGTATCAACAAATCTCTTACATTTTCAAAGCAAAATTCAACCTGAATAAACAGAAATAGATTTTTTAAACTCTTAAGCTTATAAAACGACCTGTTTAAAATTGCTTTCTAGGATTCCAATCATAAGCTAGAACAACAACGACAAATCCTTGTTTCTCAATCTTAATTACAGTGGAATAAAAACCAAAAGTTTTTGGAATGGTGCTATGTTTTATACTGATACTCTTACTGTGTCTATAGTGGCATTAAATAATTTGAACGACTCTTCTGCAACTGAAGTGGAATATATGCTTTAGAGTATTGAAGAAGGATTTAGCTGAAGTTTCGAGTCTCATCACTTATTAGTTCAAACTATCAGCATAACAGAACTAAAAAGAAAAATGACACTATATTCATTATGTGATTTAAGCATAAAACACTGCCATGATAAATATTTGGAAATTCCAAGCTTTTATAAAAGCACACTTTATGTACTGTATCAGCATTCATCCCTTTAGGGTGTACACTGTGGACTGCCTCGTGGGGGGAGTTTATCTCATTTCATTTTCATTCTACATTCCACTTTTGAGTTGCCAACTAAATTGCTTCTTGGTTTATAGTATGGAAGACTTCATAATGTTTAGTTGGAATTGCTTACTTTTAAAGTACGCTGATAGAAAACCCAGTGTGGTTTGAAATATCCTCACCAGATGTTTGGATAGATGTGAAACCAACACATATCAAAAGGAGATCCAAACTACCATTAGCTGTATAATACATAGGCTCATACATTTAACAACTTCAATGGATCAAAACACATTAAAACTCTTCAGGGGAAATGAACTTAGTTCTTCCATTTTCCATTACTAGGAACTCAAATTCTATCCATCCTCTTTGGACTATCAGGATCTCAATAAATGTTAAGTGATAATGAGCTACAAGGACAGTGTAAGTAATTTAATGTGACTGGACAATGGAACAGTTTGATACGGTCACCAATACAGACTCATACTTTTAGTCTGAAAAACATAAGTTTAGTCACTAGAACAAAGAAAATGACAGTCTTATTTCTTTCCAAACCAGTCAGGCCACACCTAGTATAAGATGCTTAATTCTGAGCATTATACCTTAAGAAGGATAAAGACAAGTGGGATGTGCTTGGCAGATAAGAATCAGGAGGCTGGCACAACAGCTCACGCCTATAAGGGAGGGCAAGGTGGGAGGATAACTGGAGCCCAAGGAATTCACAACCAGCCTGGACATCTCTGCAAAGAAAAAAATTTTTTTTTTAATTAGCCAGGTATAGTGATGCACAGCTGTGGTCCCAGCTACTCGGGAGACTGAGGTGGGAGGATCCTTTGAGCCTGAGAAGCTGAGTGAGCTGTTATGGCACCACTGCACTCCAACCTGGGCGACAGAGCAAGACCCTATCTCAGAAAAAGGAAAAAAAAAATCAGGAGAGTTACAGACCATGAATCTACATAACAAAAAGAGCAACTACAAGGATAGGGCTATATGACCTGGTTTGGGCCAGGACTCAGGGAAGAGTGGATTCATGGGAACAACCCTTTCTAAATATTAAAAATAGAAATATACAAAAACAATGAATTTTACATGGATTCCCAAGGAAAGAAATTAGAAATAATATGTGTAAAATAAGCTATGGAGAGAGACTTTCAACTAGAGTTGTTTGTGGATGGAATGAACTGCTACGACCGGTTAGTAGTAGTGAACTAAACTACTCCTTCAGGGTATACTTGTTAATCCACACTAAGTATCCATGCACCATCACACAATCTTGCCTAAGCTGTGCTGTTCCCTGAACCAGTCCCCTTCTGTGACTACCTGGCAAAATATAACTTCAATCATTCTACTCACACATTGCCCTTTCTACAATTTTCCCTGACATCACTCTTTCCCCTAAACCTTCCCATCCTTAGAATTAATCATCACCTCATCCCAGCTTATGCAGCACTTTTTGTGTTTTCTATTACAGTATATACCTACACTAAAGTATAACAAAACATATAGACTATTGTAATTATATTCTTGGTAAATGTGTTGTGTCTGGCATAATTTTAGCGCATTTATTGTACGTAACAGATTTGTTTGGAAATGTAGATAATATACAAATAATAGATGCAGAGTCAACCTAGATGACTTTAAGACACTGAGATTCTATGGTACTAGAAAATGTAGAGACACGTTTAAGGACTTTTAGCAGTGAACACAGAAGATTCTCTAACACCGACATGCCTAAAAAAGTGCTACACATGTACCCTTAAACAGAACTAGAAAGACTCAGAATCCAGTACATTTCTTCCAACAGTAAAAACAAAAAATTCATGCAAAAACTCCATAGGTATAAGTTGGACATTTTAGATATCCAAAAAACAACCTTTAATTGAATAGCAATATAAATGATATTCTAAATAAAACAGAATGATAGATACAGAAAGATAATAGGAGGTTGTCAAGAAATATGAAGGAGTATGTGTATTCAGCCAGTAGTTACCAGATTACAAATCCATAAAACAAAAATTATTCATTATCCTCTTTTTCTGGGCTCTATTTTGAACTTACTCATTGACATATGCCAAAACTATAAAAGTAAGACAAAGCAGGAAACCTATAGTCTCACCACCAAGTCAAATATTTCCATTGTGACCAGTCTTTCCACGTCCAACTACACGGACTGTGAATTAAGTCCAAACATATTTACCTTAAGCCATTCTTATTGAGTTTTGAGAAATCTCTACTTTTAAAGAAAAACAGGTCTACAAGACCATGAAACATTATTTCTCATATTTAAAAGAAGCAGCGAAAACACTTGAAAAAACACAAATAAGTACAAATAAGCCAAAAACCTTTGTTTTTTGCATTATGCATTCTGTTTCTCGTAAAAGATGAATGATGAGAAAACAAAAATATAAATTTGACTTTAAAAGAAACATTCAGGGTGTTTCAAATGATCAGCAAAGATTCAACTTAATCCCCTAAAAAACTAGTAATAGTTGTTAATGACTGCAATAGTACCAATTATAGATAACCAGGGAGAGGATCCAAACAAATGAGAAAAATGCATAAGATAGCATTTTAATTATAATGCTCAATATAAATATGAGGTTAAAAATCATTATTCTGCATTATTCTTCAAGGTGAAAGACTCATACAATTACACAGCCAATGAAATGTTGCTTATTGCAAAAAGAAGATGATCTTATAAAAATTAAATTCTAAAAAAGATACAAATTAAATGCATATCATGACTGTGTGTATGTCAGAAATATCTGATAACAGACTAGAAAGAAAAGCAGCAAAAAAAAAAAGAAAAAAACATAGGTCTGGTGTTAAGATTTTAGGTAACTTTTTTTGGTTTTCCAAATTTGTGCTAATATTATGTCACTTTTGTATTATTAAAATTTCATTTGAAATTTGTTAGGAAGACCTGGAAAACAGTGCTTATGGTGGGAGACAGATTTCTCAAGAAACAATCCTGTGATAATTTCCCAACAATCTTGAAGCCTCAATGAAGTTCTTCATGACATCCAGTTATTCATGACTGGATAATGAAATGTGGGCCTTTGTGCGGAAACAGGGAGATTCTCAACTGGCTAAATGACCACTCCCAAGGGAGCTGAAGACCAATGTCGATAAGATTCTACTGGACACAAGAGCTCTCTTCACAAGACTGTCCTGTGCACTACATGTGACAGTGAGGCAGACACACACTGAGAAACATGTTGCACACGTTAGAAAGTACTAGAAATGATTACAATTAGACACTGTATAACAGACTAAGATTTTTTGTTTAATTTGTATAGACTAGAAAAATTTGAGCTAGATCTACAAGATTGCAACTTAACAAAGATAAATCTAAAGTCCTCTACTAGGTCCAAATATTAACTGTATAAGTGGGGCACAAGGAAATATAGCTAAGAGACCAAATATCTGAGGAAAACACAGGCATTTTAATTGTCACTCAACAGCATGGCATGACTGCCAATAAAGCAAATACAATTCTAGACTGCTGAAAAGAGAAGACGGTCGTGCCATGTACCGTGTTCAGTACCACATTCTATAAGGACAGTCATGACCTAAGTACTTGGAAAAAACGGAGCAGATTTAAGAATAACATTCACATTTTAAAGGAGAACTTACCTAAGAAGTGGGTAGGCATATTTGGTGCAGTTTAGGGGTTGAGGGGAGTTAGAATCAATGGTACAGAGACTGGAAAGAAGCAGATTTGGGTTCAATATAAGGAAGACTTTTCTCACCAGAAAGCAGCCCAAATACAGATCAGGCTCCTAGCAAAGGCAGTCATACGGAAGCACACATTAACTCTTACATGTGGTCAGGGAAGCTACAGAAAAGACCCCTGCACTATATAAAAGATAAGCATAGACACCTGCAAAATCTCTTCCAGCTGCTACATTTCTTGATGTGTTAAACCAACGGAGGCACAGTATGGGAAGCACAACTATACCAACACTGAAAATGAAATGATTCTCTATGAAATTTTCTCACTAAGAATCAAATGAATGGTTATTTTCTCTAGAAACTGTGGAGCAGATGCCACACTCCCCCAAAACACTAAACACGTGCACCCAGGTTTACAATATAGCACAGAATGCCGTACATATTCTCATATTCTATTATCCCCAAAATCAGGTGGTACCTTACAATCGCAGTCGGCCAGGTTGCAGTGGTGTAGTTGTCCTTGCCTGATCACGTGCACACCTGATCATCACTGTTAATGCCAGTTACTTGAGTTAAATAGTGCATGCTTCAGGTATTACACATCTTAAGCTTAATGACACTATAGTTCAGTAATAAAAAGTTAAACATAGAAAGTAACTAAAATACTCAGTGGGGCACAAACTCGTATTAACTTAAGAACATCTGCCACTTGACGGATGTCTACAATTCTGTATTTTCCTGCAAAGTAATCAATTCATTTTGCTATTTGTTTTAGACATATACACAAGAGTAAAATGATACAAATCCATGTCTCAATAAATCTAAATAAGCTTATCAATAAGTATAAAATATTAAGAATCTCAGTGGTGAGAAAGAGTTGAGTCATAGTTTAATCAGAAGAGCTTGTGCTTTCCTAATGGTACATAAAATAATGATGCATCTGAAAATCGGTGTTGCAGAATCAGTGAAATACAGAGTGTTTCTTGCAAATGTGATGTAGATTTCATAGACAGAGCACTTTATTTTTAATCTCTCTTTAATATACGGGAATCTTAGAATTGCAGAGTTGGATGAAACCTTGGAAGTCATTTGAACATAAACTCAATCTAGCATATAAACCCTTTCAATGATATATCTAATGTGCTGGATGACAACTTTTAAAGAAGCTGAAAGACATCCACCAATTGTGGAAAGTATGCTATCCAAAAGAAGAATTCTCAAGTCCCCTCAAAAAAGGGGGAGAGAGGTTTGACCTCAATGAAATTTAAGATTTACGTTCTGTGAAGGACATCACAGATAGAGCAAGCATAGAAGTGACAACTGGAAGAATATATCTGCAACATATATACCTGATAAAAAGTTAATAGGAATTCCTACAAATTAGCAATAAAAACTGAATGGACAAAGGATAGGAAGAGGCATTTGACAGAAAGAAACGCCAGAATTTCTAAATCTATAAAGTGAGTTCAACCCCATTATTAATTAGAGGTACAGCTATGACATTATATAACTCTCCTCCAGTTTGCAGAGTAAAAGGGTAGATCTTAATTTTAATGATGTGAAACAGAAAGTTTATTAAAAAGAGGCGTGAAATGAAAGAAGTAAATATCCATGTGATTTGTTGTTATACATCCAGTGTCTTAAAGCAGGGACCTGTACAGAGAAATAAACTATATTTTATGATTTCCAAGTAAAAACATATATATTTAATTTGTTTTTATTACTAGAATTTGTTTTTGTTTCAGAAAACAACATATTTACAAACTTGAACACTGTTTAAGCACAACCTAGTCAGGGAAACATTCACCGTGTCTATTTCAGAAATAAGACACTTTATGTTAACTAATGTAGTGGAAAGGACTACATTAATGATTTGCCATTTTAAGGAGCATGACAAGCTAAGTAACAGCTGTCAGTAGGTCAAACACAATTCAATCGGCATAGTTAGTTCCAAAAAACATTTAAATAGGTTCTTTAGCTGGGAAGTCCACATATTACTCAGTAATTCTAGGACTAATCAAAAGCAAATAGAAAAAAACAATTCTCACTAGCTTGGGGTCAGTGAAAACCTATTTGACCTATGCCAAAAAGGGAGGTTCTCCATTCAAACAGATGGATAAAAGCTCCAAGTACAGTTATCTCACTAAAATTCCAAACAAGTCACAATGAACACATGACTTTATATTTTAGTTGTGTGTACGTATATTACATGTATGTGTACACAGACACATCTAGAGACTAATTAAGTTAGTGACTGTAAATTTTATATATAAAAATGCCCATATATTTAAGAGTCAAAGAATAGTTGTCTTTTTTATATAGTCACTAAAGACAGATATATAATATGTATATATACTAACAGACAATGTGAATTCAACAGGTATCATTTTAATGATATCATGCTGTACAAAAATATAAAGAAAATATATTTGAAAAGAAAAAAAAAGTTTGCAAATTCCAGGTAATAAATGAAAAAATGAATTACAAGAACACCCAGAAACCCAATGGAAGCTGTTACAGATCACTGAATTTTTGGAATCTAAAAACTCTGTAGTTTTATATTTTATTATTGTAGATAATTGTATACACAAGCCCCCACAGAATAATGCCTTGTCTGTTGTTCTTGAGAGAGAGTAGAACAGATGGCTCTAGTCAAAGCCCCTCGGCGACTGAGCATTATCACCTATCTAGGGAAGGAGATGGTGGTGCGGGGGTGGCTAAAAGGAGGATGAAGGCTTCTGGGAAGAGAAAGAGGGTGCAGCTTAAGTAGAAAATGGACAGCTAAAACGACGAGGGGTGAAACTGAATGTAAATTATGCCTGGCTTTAAATATAAGAGTTTTAATATTTTATTAGTAATAAATCCACTGTTTTCCCCCCTTAAACTGCTGTCACACACATGCTAGTGGCCCTTGACAAATGCCTGAAATCTTTGCCATCATTATTACACAGGAAAGGCTTTGAAAGAATTCCAAGCAATCCATCCATGTCATACTTTGACAAAGCAAGGGAGAGGCCACGGGAAGAAGAGCTTTAGCTCCCAGTGAAGAGTTAAGAAAGTGAGCCTTTACTCTAGGCTCCAGTTCCGCCCTAAAACCTAGCTGTTTGACTGTAGAAAAGACTAGGATCTTCTCGTAGCAAGGCAATTACCAGTCTACATGGTTAGGATAGTGACAAACAAAAGAAACATGTCAAATAAATAAATGGTTACCATTAAATAGAATTTATTTGCAGGTACTTTCTAAATTTAGTACGACTATAAAAACAAACAAAACAAAACAACTTTCAAACTACCAAAGCATGTGAAAACAAACTATAAAGCTGTTTCAATGCTCCCTTATGTTTTAAGAAAAAAAAAAAAACTAAACTGGGACAATAAGAAAATTACACATAATATTATTATTATTATTTTTTTGAGACGAAATCTCTTTATCGCCCAGGCTGGTGTGCAGTGGCACGATCTCGGCTCGCTCACTGCAACCTCCGTCTCCCAGGTTCAGGTGATTCTCCTGCCTCAGCCTCCCTGTAGCTGGGATTACAGGTGCCCACCACCACACCCGGCTAATTTTTATATTTTAGTAGAGATGGTGTTTCGCCATGTTGGCCAGGCAGGTCTCAAACTCCTGACCTCAGTCGATCCACCTGCCTCAGCTTCCCAAAGTGCTGGGATTACAGGCGTAAGCCACCGCGCCCAGCCACATAAATTATTTTTATAATTACTCTTCAAATAAGGAAAATTTAGTAATAAAGAAAGTAATCTACTTGAAATATTTTTAGCTATCATAGATTAACAAGGATAAACACCAATCTAAGAATTTGTACGTAGTTTATAACTTTATTTAGAAACAAAATCTTAAATCCTTATGGTAATTTCATAAAAGGTAGAAAAAGTCTAATTTTTATACGCTTAGTTGAGAAACACTTAAAGCAAACCCTGCACTGAACTGAAAATTTCCACAAGACATATAAATAAACTTATAAAAGCTCGGAGTAAACCTCTTAGGAATGTCTTGATTGGGGTTAAACTATGGCTGATAATAAGCTTAAAAAAACTAACTTAGGAACAAGTTTGCCACCTTGACAGTATGAAATGCCACTAAATTGAAAATGGAATCTGGATGGCTTTAAAATAATTGAATCTATGCTAGCTATAAATCCTGGAATCTTTTACTTGGGAATCCAAGGTTTAAATACAATGACAGTTAAGATGAAAAGTTTTATTATTATATAAGTATTTTTCTTTGACTTTTAGAAACTCTACAAATCAACAGAAATCCCTTATTCAAGTAAAAAATTAACAAAAAAGGACGCTTTGAAAATTAAAACTTTTAACTATTTTTTTTCTGCTATAGGTGGAATTTGTGCTGTGCTTGGGATACTACAATACTGTCGCTTATAAAGACACATTTTTAAAACATTTACTTTTTGTTCTCTAAGTCATCTACGTTTAACCACTATTTTTACATTATAAACTCTCATTTAGCATACATTTACTACAGTGGCCAATAATGGTCTATTATTATACAAATCAAATATGTGTTTTAAACTTAACTACTTCTCCAAACAGCTACTTCCCCTTCCCCACAAAAAAGCATCAATTCGTTAAATAGAAATTTCTGCAAAGTTGTACTTGAGTGAAAGTACAGTATTAAGAAGCTTAGTTTTCATAATCACATCCTATACAGTCAATATAGTTACGGCATGAAATAGGTTTGTTTGTATTTTTCCCTGGTGAGCAATTTTGGGGCACAACAGGTTCTACTGTAATTGTCTGTAAATTATAATAAATACCAAAGCTAAATGTGGAAAATTAACACTGGCACCTAAATTTATTTACATGCCTCAGAATCATTTCATGGAAGTTCATGTATATTTATTTACCTGTAAGAAAACAAATCAACTTCTTCATTCAGATTTCTATTTTATAGAAAATATTCACATACTAATTTTCTCTAGATAAGATATCCCCATATTAACAGTATGACCAAAAGCTTATACAGCATTTAACTTTAATTTATACTTTCTGACAAAATAGAATATAATGCCTTTTCCATCCCAGAATTTCCACTATTCTGCATTAAGTTTTTAAAAAGGTGCAAGATAACTTTATATAAAGTTTTAAATATTTCTTGAGAAAAACCATTATATGCTAATATCTGACAATTGTTTCTCCCAAAAAGTATGATTTTTAAAAGAAACTGAACTTTTCATCCTTAGGTTTTATTAACACTGATGTTTTCATTAGACAGGACATGTAATTTATATTGATAAGCACAATACCACTTCAAAAACAAATTGGACAATCATGAAATTTTGGGGTTGTAGGAGATCTTGGAGAACATACAGCATAACTCTTACCTGTTTCCCAAAGCCTCACATCCTATTTTACAGATGGGAAAACTGAGGCCCAGAGAGACTATGTGTCTTCCTCACAGGTTTGTTTTACATGATTATAAAAATTCTGACAAGATTAATTCCCTTAATTTCACATGACAAAGAAAAAGTACCCTGTGCTAGTTAGAATTTAGAAGGTTTTATATTTCAATATACCAATCAAAAATATAAATCAATGAGGCTTAAATCACAGAATTACAATTAAAATTGGGTTAAAGAAATGTAAATAAATTGCCAATATAGTGAAATCGTCATTCCATGTGTTAACCCTATAGTTATCTTTTGGATTTATTACAAATTCCTATGAGATAAATAACTTCTAAGTTTTCAAAAGGTGGCCACATCTGTGTTCTTCTAATGTCCTAAACATTACAACAATTAATATTTTTATCATTACACTGATGTTTCAATAAGATACCTCTATATGCAACCAACTATTTTATTTTATAAAGCTGTACTAGAAAGGTCTAACGTCACAATACAATGTAAATAAACTACAGATTATTCCGTAAAATATTTTGTATGTGGCAACAAACATATGCCTTTAAGTTTGACTAATACAAATGGAAGACTATTAATAAAAACTAAATGACAGCAACAAAATCTATATCACTGACGAGTCAAGATAGTATACATAGCATCAGATCATAGAGCTAATGTTAAAAAAACTCAAACATGTGATAGGGGCACTACACAAAATGTCATGTGCTAACATCTGGAATTAAGATTACTTACAGTGGAAAAAATAAAACGTCCCCGAAAAGTGAAGGCACGCATTAAATCTTGGCACTCTTTTTATAGTTGTTTTACATATAGAAATGTAATTCTTACAAAGAACTAATTTCACTAAAGGTTACAATTGTACTAGTATTTTCTGTAAGAATGCAAGAAAATGAGTAAGATTAGTCAAAACTCTGTTAACTTCTATGTTATTATGAAAGATATTGCAATTTTTGTATTAAACATTTCATGTGCCTATGACCTGACATTACTGAGATTTTTTTTTTAAAAAGTGAGCATTTAAGTGTCAAAATTTTACTGAAAAGTTTTTACTGAAAGTACTAATTTAGTATGTAATTTATGTTACATTATAAAAAACAGTTTTTTACTGGCTAGGAACTAAAAATCTCTGACCAGATAAGGGTTTAACCGGGATGTTTCTGTTGTAGTTAAAACACATCTTTTCCCAAGTGATAGAACTTGGGAAAGTTCTTAGGAAATTCTTTCATAAGTAGCATGGTAAAAAAACACTAAAAAAACAAAAAACAAAAAAAAGAGAGAAAATAAAAAATGAAATTTCAGTAAAGCTTTTCAGAAGAAAAAACACAAGAAAAAGGGACAAACTAATATTTCACACATTGGAAATCCAGTAACTGCTTTATGGATTAGTCTCTGGATCCTGTGCCAACAAAGTTGCACCACCAAGAATCATCATCATGTAAGATGGTTCAACCTGATAAGTGGAATCCCCAGTTAGAAACTGAGAGAAAGAGAAAAGAATCTCCCACGAAATGAGAGAAAGTATATCAAATCTATCTGAAACCATTCCTCAAGAAAGACGAAATATGAGCAATACATTTATGAACTTATGTGTTTATCTAAAATAAAGACACAAACTGTGGGGGAAAAAAGGCAATTAAATTTAGCGCCAAAATTGAACTTTAGGGCATTTATATTACACAAATTTTTCCACTAACCATTAACACTTCATTGAAAAACAATGGCCACATGAGAAAACATACTTCGTGATTACATGCAATCATCTATCAATTTAAATAATTTTCAAAGTATCTATATATGTTTAAATATTTTACATCAGATAAAAGAAAGGACAATTTGGACATAAAGGAAAATCTAAGTATCATAAGCACAAAACTTTGGTATTTTAACCTCAAACAACAGTGTGCGCTCTAGTTTATTAATCAACAGGAATGCTACTTAATTAACCATGTGAAAGTTAAAGTAAGTAAGAAAGACAAACAAGGCAAGTATTACTTAAGCTATTATTATACTACACTGGAAATTTTTCAAATATCTAAGATTTTGTAAGATGTAGTCACGTAAACAAATGTAAAGCCATCATAAATTAAAATTGGTTATAAAATGCCAATAAAACATTGAAGTCCCCTATAATTCATACAAAATCTGTTTTTAGACTTTAAAAAGGGCATCAAAAACTATAAAGTGTATCATTTTTAAAAGCCCATTTAAAAATTATAAGCAAATTGAAAAAAATGTTATTAATTATCCAACATTTAATTATTCATGCAAAATATTTATAAAATATTGTCAAGGAAAATAAATGTTCTAGTGCTAATATGAAGAAAATTAATATGCTGGTTTTTAAAAAAAGTTTTAAAACAATATTCTTCAGTTAGTAAGCAACACAAATCACTTAGATTTGCCTGCTTGAGACACGATTCTTTTGAAACCAAGCAATTGAAGGAAATGGTGTTGCAATACTGTCCGTTTAATGAAAACCGTGGCAGTGAAAAGGTCACATAAATAATCTGCACGATGTTATTGCATTAAGAAAGTCACAGTCTAAATCTAATGCCTGCCAAAGAGGGGCTAAAAGTGTAAAAGAAAAAGTACGCAGTCACCTGCAAAACATATTATATTCTGATTAAAAGCTGTTTTTAAACAACCTTTTAATCTAAAACCCATTTGCTATCTCAAAAATGACCTATAAAGAAATGTTTATGTAATTGTGACTAATTCAATTATCTTACACCCTGGTTTTAAGAAATATATGATAATGAAAGTTCAACTTATAAAATTCCATTTAATTAAATTAAAAATTCACAAAATTGCAAGATTATGTGTTTAGACATCAGAATTTTCTTTGTCCTTGTTTTCAAACCGCCTACACTACTAAAAATATTAGGGTAACACAGATAATATCTGTGCATACAAACTGAAGTTAACACAGTAGACTGCTTAAAACAGAAAAACTACATACATATCTTCTTTTTCTACTGATATGACAGAGTATAACCAATTAATCATTAATAAGTAACAAGCAACAGCCAGAATATGTTTAATGCTTCATTAAAACAACATTGAGGCCCATTACAGTACACAGCGTACGATGCTGGAAACCACCTTATACCCTCGCAAACCGCATTCCCTTCTAACCTCATTTGGGGGAAGCAGCTAGAGGATGAATGGCAATATGCTCTCAAGTAAGCTTTTATTAAGTATGAGAAATAAATTATATTAAGTGTTATTTTTTGAACTCAGAAATGAGGGAAGGGGTTGTTAAGATATCAAATTTACTAAGAAAATAATTATGTCAGAAATAACGTTGCTGTCACAAGAGAGACTTGCCAGATACTGCTTTTAAGCACGTTGTTATACACACCTTTAGAATAAATTTTGTGACCCAGAGATTAGTCTGTGGTACTAAAATTCCTGAGAGTAGACCAGAAAAAAAATAGAGGGTAGGAGAAATGTTTTCCTAAACAATGTTAGCATTACTCTAGTGGCATTAAGAAGCCCTTATTTCGTTTATAATTAGTAAGATACTGAGGTGATGGGATTGTTAAGGACATGTTACAAATTGCTTTTCTACAACTCACTTCCGAATCTCAGTTTCTACTAAATATGATTCTACTTCATTAGATCCTCATGACTGTGATCTCACCAAATGCAATTCTAAAACTTGAAAATTACCTTGGAAATTTGTGAGAAGCCACAGAAAGGTCCTCGGAAGCACACACATATTAAATATTAATTATAATGATGACTGTCATCTTTTATAGTGATTATGTCATTATTTAGGAATGTTAATTAAGACATAAAATGACTTGTTAATAGCAAATGCATTCTTAAGCAATATATTTGTGCTTGTGCACTTAACAGCAAACCCAGTATGGGGACTGAACCATAATAGACTACAGTTCTATTTTCTAAAATGCTGACATTTGAGCAAACGTTCCCAGGGAATGTTTGCCTGATTCGTGGACTGACATTTCCTCTTTGTAACTTGCTTAACTAAAGAGGAGACATGCAGGCCAAACTCCACAGTGCCCGCAGGCAGCAGGCTATTGCTTGCCGCTGCAACTTGTGCGTGGTTTCTCTTTTACTTCCCTCTGGCCCTACTGCCCCTCAGCCCTTCACTGTCTCTTTATTTTGACATGCATATTATCTTAGCTGATTTCAATCATCTTACAGGAGTGGATGACATACCTTAAAAGATTAAGCTTCCCCACCTGGGATTTGTCCAGAAATTCAGTGTATTACAGCTTCTCAGAGCCTTCTTCGTTCTCCTATATTCTTGTGTTATCAATAGTAGCTTTCTTTCTTATTTTATGTTTAAGTATGAGACACAGGCAGCTATGCTGATGGAGTCAGTTTGTACTGTCACTCATCTTTCACTACAACTGCAAGGTTCACTTCCTTTGTCTAATTCTTTGCTGCCATCTATGTGTATAAAAGAGCACAACATTCTTAAACACACCAGAAACTTCCTCAGTTTCAAAAACAATCATGTCTCTAATCTAGAGGGATGAAGAAGGAAGCTTTAGGGATAATTTGCTTCCCTACACAAACGTAAAGCTTATTGGAAATTTCCATTTCTTTCTCTGTGAAGCAAATTTATAAAACTGAAAAATGACTGAAGTTACATTATTTAACATAATATTATTGAACATAACCAATAGATTTTTTCCATTATTGCTGCTGATAAATTTTAATTTGGCAAATTTGATGAACTTATGCTTGAAAAACAAAAGTTGAAATTTTAAGTCACTTAAGTAAATAATTCCAATAAGATAAATTAATTTTTGCTAAATTGCAATCTAAATATCTTGCCAAATGATAGAGTGAAATGATCACTAAACCTAACCGGGTGCGGTGGCTCACGCCTATAATCCCAGCACTTTGGGAGGCTGAGGCGGGCAGATCACAAAGTCAGGAGATCGAGACCATCCTGGCTAACATGGTGAAACCCCGTCTCTACCAAAAACACAAAAAATTAGCCAGGTGTGGTGGCAGGCACCTGTAGTCCCAGCGACTCGGGAGGCTGAGGCTGGAGAATGGCGTGAACCCGGGAGGCGGAGCTTGCAGTGAGCGGAGATCACGCCACTGCACTCCAGCCTGGGTGACAGAGCGAGACTCCGTCTCAAAAAAAAAAAAAAAAAAAAAAAGAAATGATCACTAAACCAAAACACTTTCCTAATATTTAATATAAAGCAAATGCAAAGCAAACAGATGAAAAAATTATTTACACACATTATGTAAACAACCAATAACTCAAATATTGTGACATAATAATCGACTAACTTCTGTCAAATATTCAAACACTTCTTCTCTAGGGAAGATGGAGAAATGTATCAGACCACACTAAAGAGCCTCTCAGCCTCCCCTTTAGGACTGACCATACTGGCTCTGAATTGTCCTAAGATAAGTTAGTGTCAAACAAACAAATAGAAAGGCACTCTAGTGTGAGCCATATGGGAATGTTACAACAAACAAAAAAACCCTGTCCCCTACACCATGTAACAATTAATCCATGCACTCAGGGTAAAGACTGGTTATTTACCATCAGTACTAATAATGTGGGTTGACAGTCTTGAAGAATGTCCTAAAAGGTTTATTTTGTCAATACCACTAATTTCTAAAAGACTTTACTGTTATATACTAAAAAAATAAAAACCTGGCACCAATGAAATATATGGAATGGGAGTAGAAAAGAAACTCAGGAACAGGTTTTTTTACCCTGATATACCAAACAGCATAAGAAGTGCGAAACTGCTGCCTCTTCTCTATCAGCTCCCATTTAGAATAACTGCATAATTGCTATCAACACAATACTCCTCTTCTCTGGCAAACATTTCACTTTAATTATCAACACTAGAACCGTACACAAGTTGAGCTAACCTTTCAGGGTGCAACATTTTCTAAAGAATCAGTCTCTTAACGATAAACTGTTAACGGAGCTGTAACATGCCAAACCAAGGCTTGATGTGCGGTTTCTTATAAATAAAGCAAATCTAAATTCGCTGTGGATTACACTTTAAATTAACATTTCCAAACTAGGAACATACTCTGCCATTTTTCAAAGAGTAAAAGTGATACCTACTAATCACTCATCTTCGATCTTAGACATTTTTCAAAAAATAGAAATCTGATACATTCAAACCATTTTCATATGATTTATTTCTTGCTGGCACTGGTAAGGTATCCAATTAATGATTTACAGTACAAAGTAGCAGAAAAAATTCTTACGCATTACATTTTTTGAACTAGAAAAGATTTCATTTTATTTTACCGTACTAACTTTAAGGATCCAACTTTAACAAGGCAAATTTTATAAACTCCGCCATATGTAAGGATAAAGTAGAAATCATATTTAATATCAAGCTTTACTATGTATTTTAAAAGAGGTATTAAGTCTAATTTTTTTAAATATACATACAAATTTTGGGGGCGGGGGAGATACATTATGGTATTAAACAAAGTATCATTTATGTCTTCACCTTAATTTATGTAAATTACATACTGTAATCTAATCAAGAATCCTGGCTGGGCAAGGTGGCTCATACCTGTAATCCTAGCACTTTGGGAGGCCAAGGCAGGTGGATCACCTGAGGTCAGGAGATGGAGACCGGCCTGGCCAACATGGTGAAACCCTGTCTCTACTAAAAATACAAAAATTAGCTGAGCGTGGTGGTGGGCACCTGTAATCACAGCTACTCGGGAGGCTGAGGCAGGAGAATTGCTTCAACTCAGGAGACAGAGATTGCAGTGAGCCAATATGGTGCCACTGCACTCCAGCCTGGGCGACAGAGCGAGACTCTGTCTCAAAAAAAGAAAAAAAAAAGGAAAAGTTTTACTCACAGTGTATTTACTAACTTACTCTTTACCCACCATTTTTATAAATAGCATCTAGAAATTAATATTGTGGTAAATATGTTCATTTAGCTATTTGTATTAATTTTAGCTTAATATATATAAAATAATGTTGCAATACTAAAATAATGCTACTCTGGATTTTATTTAGTAAACAAGCCACTATTTATAAACACATTAAGGGTGAAAAACCCAACAAGCATAGCTTTGTGTGGTCCACTAATTAATTATGAGCAAAATTCCAAACATTATTAGCTGTTATCAAAATTACAATACCACCTAGCTCTAATAAAACAGAACAATCTGTTTGAACAGGGAGAGGAGAACTTTCATAGAGTGTTCTCTCTCATATAAATTCTTAATGGACTATAAAGGACTTTTTAAGTGGTTTTAGATTTGAATTCAATTGCTCAAATCTACAACAGGCTTCCAAGAAGAATCTGAGCCAGATGACACACAGGCACCCACCAACAGCATACACTCCTGCCTACCCTGATGAATACAAAGTCAAACATGCTCAACTTCTTCCTAAGAACCATGGGAATAAACTAGTCATATTTACAATCGTGGTGTTTATTCATTATAAACCTAAACATGAAATTATAAAATGAAAAAGGTTTCGTATTGCAATTTTGCGCTGTAACAAATAAAAGTGGTTACAAACTGTATTAAGTTATCACGGGGGCTGTGTCCACACAGGTGAAGGGACAACAGGACTGATCAGAAAGAAATGGGAGCTTGTAGAACAAAAACAAACAAAACCGTAACATTACTTGACCGTAGAGGTTTGTTCCATCCACATCACCTATTCACAGAGATTAAAAGTATCCAGTCTTTGCTCCAAGCACCTACTCACTGTACCTGTAAGAGAGCTAATTCTTCTAGACACAAAAGGCACTATAGTATGCAGGGATATTAGGTCTAAATGCAAACATACCTTATTAATCCTCAGGCTTTCAAAGTACTCACTGCTCTTTAACAAGTAAAGCATTCTGCTCATAAGGAATCTTTATTATTTGAACATTCATAATTTGCTAACAAACTAGAGTGATTTATGTTGCTCTGAGCACATCTAAAAATTACATAAGACAAGAAAACAATGAGTTTTAAAACTCATATAACATCATAATAAACTATATCGATTCATAAATATACTAAGCAAAATAAGTTATCTTCAGAGACCCAATATGAAGTTACAGTTTGTGTATACTAATATATGGACAAAAATGTATTTTCAGTGCTAAAGCAGAAATATTTATTTTTAGATCTTAGAAAATAGGTTAATTCACATTATACTTATATAACTGACTTGACAATTTCATTTAAAAATAATTGTATGAATAGGAACAAGCTGCTCATTCTAACAACGTCTTCATTAAGAAATTGTAGCAAATATTATTTGCCTCCCATAGCTTTTAGGGAAGCTAACTTACAAACCACCATGGTGTAGATATTCAAAATTTTAAATTTTATATTGAATTAAATTGTACTACCCTAACCAAAAAGATGATTATCATTCCTGATGAGTTAGTACCGTGGATTTCTGTTGTCTGTATATATTATATATATTAATTTTATGTTAGTATCACTGATGTGCTAACATTGCACCTGGCATTGTTGAATTTGGGGATCTTCTAGCTATTCAAATACTCTTTCATATGGTATTAATTAAAACCAGTTCCCTCCAGCAAGGAAAGAACAATGTTTTAAACTCAAACTCAAATGCACCAAAACTTCATTTCACCGTAGTAAACAGTGGGAATGACAAGAGGTCCGATATAAAGTATCAGAGTCCTGCGGTATCTTCCCCTCACAGTTCAACGATACTGCCCACCTCGGTATTCTCAGCTTAGTAGTGTGACAGGAAGACTGAGTGGCATCATATCTGGGCTGGAGACTAGGTAGCGTGTGGCTGCTTATGA
Source organism: Homo sapiens (assembly GCF_000001405.40). Lineage (NCBI taxonomy): Eukaryota > Metazoa > Chordata > Mammalia > Primates > Hominidae > Homo > Homo sapiens. The sequence goes on from NC_000006.12 coordinate 2,108,832, forward strand.
ACCGCACGTCCAGGTGGGCACCTGTGAAATAAGTGCTTGAGCTGGCTCTGTGCCAAAATCTTTGCCACTTTAGAATTCTAGAGCCCATTTATTAAAAAACAAAGGATCCAAAACATCACTTTTTCCTTTAGAATACATCATAACAAGTTAACATTTTGGTGGCAGGAAATACAGTTATTTGAATGAGGAAGACATTCTTGCAATCATTTCGAACAGCAGCTAAGGCAAATGACAGGCCTCAGTCCCAGGCAGAAACAGCAAAGACGGATATGTTGACTATGTAACCTGAGCCCATCCATTTCTCTAGATAATTTGCCTCAAGTTAGACTGAACTGTGAGCAGGCAGCACACTGGGACTGAAGTGAAGGAGGACACACAGCGGCCAATGCATATTTCCTTTCCCCCATGCCCACTGCATTCACTGCTTGCCTCCTTCATCAGGACTTGGGGTGGTGAGGGTCCAATCCCAGGAGAGATATTATTGGAGACAGGATGGTCAGGGGGCCTCACGGAGAAGCTGATGCTTAAGTTCGAGTGTAGTTAAGGGAATGAGACAAGTAGATATCTAGGGAAAAAGAGTTACAGTCAAGTCCACATACATAGGCCCACAGGTAGAATCACATCTTAAGGAAACACAGCCTAAGGCAGGTGCTTGCTGCATGGATGAGAAAAACAGAAGCATAAAAAGGCTAAGTGCCCTCTTAGGGTCATGTAGTGAGCATGTGACGTGACCAGGATTTTAAGCCACAGAAAAGTCCAAGACCCAGGGTCTGGTGTGGACCTGGATATGAAGTTTTAGAGTGTGTCCCAGGAACCGTGATATGCACCCCTGATTTGATAACCTTGCCTGGACCATAGTTTCTTGTGAGAACATTCCTCTCTTCTGCCCCATGGCAGTCGTCTGTTCCAGTAGTGGACATAATGTCTCCCCGCTGCATCCTCTGGGCACAGGGCCTGTAAAGGGCCGATGGCTGTATTCACACATGTTAACTTACTGAATGCTAACATGCAATTGTATGGGCCACAGGCCAGGCCCTCATCCACATTTCAGGATGTTCTAACAGCTTCTCTTTCCTTCTAACAGCAATAGCTACGCTCCCTGCCTGCTCCTTACTTTCCTGCTCTACTCACACCTCCCTGTCAGGCTCCCCAGGGTCCAAAATAAATAAATGAATGAGCAAGAACACAGAAGAACAGTCCCTCTCTGCTGTTTGCTCTGGGTTTTTAATAGGCTACCCCCTATCCTTACTGTAATTACACGGTAAAGGGCCACGCTGTTGCAATTTTGTTTTGTTCTATAATTGGGTTAGCCAGGCACTAACCAGATGTTCAACTATAGACTCCCACCTTTCACCAACCGCCCTTCCCCCCCATAATGCAATTCTCCCAATGTATTTGTTCACCCACCCCCCTCCCTCAATTAGAACAGCCCCAAGAGGTTCAGGCTTCCTGGGGACGAATATGGGGGTCAGCTATTAAGGTACGGATTTCAACTCTCAGAACCACCAGGAAAATGTCACTGGAGATGACAGTTCTTTAGCTTAGGTAATTCAGTTTCTTGGGCCCTTTCCCAGGGGCCACAGATTTAATTCCTATGGCTATTTTTATTCCCACCTCCATTCCTTTAACTAGCTTTTCTGTCTCATCCCTCCTAGATTCTAACTTCGTGCCAGGTCACTAACGCACTGGCCCCTTGACTCACAGTCAACTCTGCCTCCTGACTGGCATCCCAAGCTTGAAGTCCCACGTGGAGGAGTGTTCAGACTCAACCCCCTGGGGCTTCCACAGTCAGAATCTGCTAACTTGTCCCGCACAACTCTGTGAGGAAATCTCAGCTCCTGCCACATGGTCATGACCCAGTGTACCTCCCAGGCACTCATGCCTCCTAGCAGTCCTGAAACAAAATTAAACAAATAACTTACACAGAGACTTGAAAAGGAAAGTAATACAGATATTTAAAGGGTTAGAAAAGGAGTAGAAAGTATGGGTTATTCAATCTGAGTAAGAGAAAGTGAAAGAAAGACACACTCATGGTTTGTAACGCTGAGAAAGAATTTGAAAATCCTTTTCAAAACTAAAAAAAAGACTAAGTGACTTTCTGTCTCCACTAAAGACACATTCCACAATGGAATAACTGTTGTTTCTTTGAGAAAAATCAAGGCAATTCCAACATGGCATTGTGAGGCAAAGGAAAGAAATACTGCACTAGGTTCACTGTAGAAAGATCTCACCAACACCACTACTTTGAAAATGACATTAAGATTATTAAAGAAGCTCCAAGACATGGGGGACGAATCGAAAATCCGGACAGCAATTAAAGTTAAACAATTAAGCAACACTATTACTTACACAGCAAAAAATACACAAACCAACCAACCGCACAACCACAACAAAAAAAGCAGTTTCCTAAAACATTTTCTCCATCAAATGGGCAGGACTACGCATTGGATAATTTGTTCCTACTTGGATGATGTCATCATGCTAGGTTTAACTTCTTTTAATAACTAGTACATTTCAGTCATCTCTCACTTTCTCCCACATAAGATCAAACCAGCCTTTCAATGACCTACTTCATGAGTCATAATTTTTCTGTTTATGATTCAGAAAAATGTCTTCAGTCAGTATTTCCCAGACTTCTGTGGGTTTATTCCAAGAACCAATTTCATCTTCGCTGGTTTCCTACAGGAAACCAGAGCAACTTCCTATTATTTTATTTTCCTTACTTTTAGCATACCCTAGCCCACATCAAGTTAACTGGAAGTGAGAGCGGTAGGAGACTTTATTCCATACAAACAGAAGCCAACACAAACAACACCCAGTCTAGAAGTCACGGGTGCAAAATTAAATGCAAATGTGTGCTAATATTAGGACCTTTTTTCAAAAGGACACCAAACCAAATAACAAGAAATTTAATTAATCTTATGGCAAACATTACACTGTCAGAAGTAACTTTTTTTGTCTAAATATATCTATGAATACAATAAATTCTACAAAGCTGATTAATATAGAGAAATTAACTATAAGAAACAAAATATGTATTTTTTCATCCTAATTCCTTCCCTAACAAGCTACTAGAAAACAAACAAACAATTGCAACCCACCATGGAGAGCCCTGGAGAGGTGAGGGAACACAGCAGCATGCTGCCAGCAACCTGACAGATGAGCAGTCTGTGATCACATGGCGCCATCATCCCAGGCCCCTTCCCCACGCCCGCTCTGGCCATGACGAAGCCTGTCCACAGATCACAGCATAAACAGTGGTATGGAACAGGGATTTCGAAGGACATTCTAAGAGGAGCTGTTCATACTAAGTACTTGAGAAGTATTTATTATCTCAGACTATGTACAATTCAGAAAAAGAGGTTTCTGAATATCAAGAACTTTGATACAAACATATATCATATTCGCTTTCCATTCTTATAACTCCTGACTGCAGACGTAGTTTTGGGCTTTAAAAGCTCATTAAGTCATTAACTAGTAAGTAATAGGATTATTTTACATCAAACTCAAAAACCTATATATTAAAGGCAAAGGTCTAAGAAGAAAGCATTTAAGGAACATATTCTATTTGGATAAACCAAGAAACCTGAAACACTAGAACAAGGGTTCTCAAAGTGCGGTTCCCAGACCAGGGACAGCATCATCTGGACACACCCTAAAAATGCAAGTTCGAAGACCCCACCCTAGACCTAAAGAATCAAGGATTCTGAAGAGAGGCCTGGCAACCCACAAATGATGCTACAAGCTTTACCCATCATATTCTCTCTTGTCCCTCTACATAAAAATTTCTGGAAAAAAATGCATTCAATTTGCATTTCCCTTATAACCTCTCAACTTCTAAACCCCTTGCACGCTGGCCAAGTTCTTCTGTCACATCACTAAAATGTTTCTTTAAAACGTCACAAATCCTCGCTGGCCTAACTGGCAAGGCCGGTGACTTTTCCTGGTCCTCATTCTCCTAGCCTCATCCCCTCTTGCTTGCAATGACCCAATTTCTTGACTGCCATGGCACAATCCCACCCTCTGCCTCCTCCACTTCAGTCATCAGCCCTACTTGTCCTCATCCCACCCTCTCACTATCAACCTGTTTCCAAGATTCAATCTTCAGTCCTCTACCCGTCTTTCTCCAGTTACTACTTGGCATCTTTAAGACCTCAAGAGCTGAATATACAGCTCTGTACCCTAGATCTCTCTCAAAACTCACAGCATATTTGAAGCTACCTTATAGCCTGCTTCCCTTGAATGTCCTTCAAGTAACGCCAGTAAAATGTTTCCAAAAGGGAACTTATTTCTCCAACCCCACTCCAAAAGTTCCTCCTTGAATGTCGGTTTCTAGTACTGGTTCTATTGACCTTCTGGTCCCCTGGGCACTGGAGCCCTGGGTTTCCCTCTTCTCTAGTGACCACATCAGTGCATAGAGAAATCAGCCCCACCTGGCATCCTGTTTCATTCCTCACTCCCACCCCCATTTCTAGTGACACCATCCTCATCCAGCAACTTCCTAGCTCTTCTTAAGCCCTACCTCTAGACTCTTACCTCTAGAAGTCATCACTGAATATATCTTCCCCCGTTCAAAACATGGGTAGCTGCCCAGGCACAGCCCAGCTTCCTACCTGACCTTACCTCACACTTCTCCTCATACTGGTTCTGCTCAGCTCATCTCGAATGCTCATGATGCTGCAAACATGTACCAAGTTTTCCCACTTCTCTTTGCCTCATATTATTACCCCCGTTTCAACTATTAGTTTCCCGCTACGTCTGTAACTCTGTAACTGTCCTCTCTATACCTCAACACCAGAGCCAGTGTCGGTTCCGCCTCGCACTATCCATCTACCCCCAGACGGAAGTTCTCTCTTACCCTCCTCTAAAGAGTCAGACACTTGTGCCAATCACCCCTCCTAGAGTTGAAACCCCCACAGCAGAGGTGTATCTGACACAGCTTTTCGTACTGTACCATGCATGACACCTTGCATGAGGTATGCACTCAACAAATATTTGTTGGAAGATTAAATGACCTTACAAACCAAAATTCTCACTGAAGAGTGCCATTTCCGCCCATTAACTAACCATTAAGAAAAGCAGCCAAAATACCATAAAAAAAGATAAACTTCACATGTGTAGCAATGTAGAGGGAACCAACTCAATAGCCTATGATTTCTATTACTTACAGTACAACCACACCAGAACGATAACAAAACACTATCATGATCACTACAACTAAGAAAACCAACTATAACATATTTCTGAACTATAAATATGTTTTGGGGAAAGGAAAGAATCAGCCCATTTAATACTAAATGACAAGGGGAAGGTCTTCTATAAATAAACCTTTATAAAAATTTTCTGCATCTTTCATTACAATTTTCAGCTCCTAGAGGTGATAAACTATCTATGATTACAAAGGAAACTTCTTAATCTAAAGGAAACTGAATAACAGAATGTTCATTCCAAAACATTCTGTTTTGTCTGGAAGATACTCTCATGGCTGGTCAGGAAGGTCAAGAAGCAGCCAGATGACTTATAATGTGGAAGATAGACTGACTACCTCAATTAGGGAAAAATAAAGTCTTCATTCCTGGAATGATAAAAAGTCACCGCTTCTCTATAGGAAAGAAGGGATGTAATTTCTCAAGCACACAGTATGCATAAGAGACTTTCCAAAATGAAAAAACACATGGAGAATCATTTAGAAAAATAGCTAAGCTGTAACCTAAAGACCCTGATACCTTTCACAGACTTTGGTGAAAGTCTGGATATAGAACAGAATCATCACAGATTAAGAAAAGAAAAATGTTTCTTCATAGACAGCACAGGCAGATATGAGGTATCATCATTCATCGATATGTAGCCATCCTTCAAGGTTAACATTTGAAAGAAATACATATAATGAAGACTGGCAATCAGTTATAAGATTGAGTTTATTGCTATGTTTCTCTCACCATGTTCTCCACTTGGTTTCATTTTATCTAGTTCATGATTTCTTCCTTAAACAAGCAGAGGTATATAGAATAGGCATTTAGCTTCCATTCTATGCAAACATGGGGATACAGAAAAATAGCCAATCACCTAAGAAAAACTTTCTGAAATAAGACTCCTGTACTTGTTCATTAAATAGCAAAACAAACAAACAAACAAACAAACAAAAAAAAACCTCATACATTTTCTGGACTTTTGAGGGGCTTTTATAACTTAAGAGTTACTTGCTTTTATTTCTCAGGTCCACTAACCATCCTGTCTGAACAAGTATCTAAATAGAACTCCTATCATTCATGGCTTCAGATTTCACTTATTCATGTGAGCAGGAGGACACGGCAACAAAAACTTGAATTAAGCAGACCACTAGAACCCTAAGGATGGGCCTGTGATGTTTACCGTGATTCCTTCCAGAATGCGAATAGAGGGGAAAATCCACACTGGCTATATCACACTGAGGAGGAGGGAGACTAAAAAGCTTTCTTCCAATGATTTTTACCATTCACAATTAAAAAGTTAATTCAGCTAATTTTAACATATTATTGGGACTCAAAAATATTCTCTCAGCCAGTAATTTAGCCGCTACCAAAAATTGATATTAACATAAAGGTTTTACTTAGTTACATCTTCCAACATTTTAACAAAACATTTAATTCACAATCTGTTATTTGAAATGGCAGAAAACACATCCATGGGCCTCATGGCTACAGGGAACAACCCAAAATAAACAAATACTGCTATTCCAATATTAGTGGTAAGGTTTTATTATATTGTTTAATAACAGACAAGAGACTTTTAAAAAATCTATGAGTACTTCAATTAGGATTAATACTTAAACTAACACTGACAATTCAACTTGAAGACTAAGACCAGTGATTATATTACTACACTGAGAAGCAGCAGACACAAGTAAAATACAGAACGCCACAGAAACACGGCCAGAGAAATCCCAATGAAAATGCTTACTTTGACGTGGCTCTGGGCTCCAAGGTTGTAGATCTCTGTGGGCTTTACTTCATTAATGATCTTCACAAGGCAGGTACTGTCAGTGAGATCGCCATAGTGCAACTTCATGTCTTCAGGATACAAAAACATCCCATTAGATAGAGAAAAGCAACATAAGCTCAATTTTTAAAAACATCAAAATTGAAATGCATATTTGGAAAGTCTGAAAACCAGGGTCAAAATGGAAATGCTGTACTGATGGTTCTGGAGTAGCAGAATATAACTGTCACCTTTACCTAAATAATAGAAAGATAGCTACATAATGCCTATGTCTGTAAAAGATTTTGGTGGTAAACTCAGAAAAATGTTTTTTAAAGCACAGTATCACGAACATGTTATACAATAACATATCTTAGGGCTCCAGGTGGTTGTAAGATGTGTTCTGCAAGAATGAGATTCAGAAAAAGAAAACCTTGTAATAACATGTATACCATCTAAAGCAATCCATAACACTGATGATGATGAAGACAGCTCTCTTTTCTTTAGATACTTTTATCTAGTAATTTTCAAGTACTTTATAAACATCAACCTTAGGCCCTGACTGAATGCCCGATGTGGTGACATAATTGATTGAAGGACAACTCCTAAATCTAAACAGATCCTTACACTGACTTCATTAGCATAAGAATTTGATACATGTGGATGGGTGATGTACTAACTTGATCTTTTCATCATTTTTACATAATATTGATCTATATCTACATCCAGTGGCAGGACTGTTCTGAACTTTGCACAAAAACAATAATGATTTTCAAAGACAACACACTTCATGACTTAAAGTGGAAAGCCTTTTACTGTGGACAACTGCATCATCTTCCTGATGCTGTCACTACCTATACAAGTAGCCCAAACCTTCAAATATGCAGGGGTCAGGGGTGAATACAAAACCACATATGGTTTACAAGCTGACTGTATCGTCCTTGCTGGCTGGAAAAACTGGCCACATAATGCAGGCTGAACTTGGAGTTAAAATCCCTGTGTCCTGGTGACAGCTCTGCCTTCTTCACAGTGCGCAACCTCAGAAAACTCATAACCTCTCTGTCTCCATTTCCTCAACTATAATGTGCTCTCTGGGTCTCCCTATCCACCTCAGGAGTTACCATAAGCTCAAACAAGAAAACAGTCTGCTTGTGCTATATAAACTGTACAGCTGCATACAGACAAATTAATAAAAGCAGCAAAACAACTGCAAATGCTGACAATGATCAGTCATTTAGAACAGTTTTGATTGCCATTTATTTGGGCCTATCTTCACAAATTATTTTTAAAAATAATTAAATGTACAAAGATTGTTTAAATTGATTAAATTGGACTGAATATAAAAAGCGGGTCGGTGCACTGCCAGTGTGGAACTGCTCTTACTTGAGGGGATAAGGACACCTGCAGAGCGGTGATCAAAGGCATGCCCTTTCTTGGTCTCTCCAAGCCATCTACTTCATAGCCTTCTAACAGCCAAACCATCATGACACTACGGCCTAGGGCAGTGAGCAGGGAAGGTTTTCAAGGCATGTAAATCGTATTCAGTGCAGTAATTCATGGGTAAGTAATTGTGACTTGTTGGGCTTTGACAAAAATGACATTTGAAAACACCTTATCTGAACATAGGAACATCTGAAAACACCTTATAGAAAGAGATTCTAGAAAAAGAAAATGACTTACTTCCTTCAATGTGAGCCTGGGGATTCTTATACAGATGCTCAATTCGACCCGTATTAAATGAACTGGACCGCCGTACAATTCCATGGACCTGAGTTTTTACAGTGTGGAAAGATAAATGTGCAATGAGGACTAATAAACAACTTCTTTAGCTAATGTTTAGCTTTATGAAAAAAATGATTTGTAAGCATTATTTTAAATTATTAGAAATAGTCCCACTGCTTACTTTCTCCCCAACCACTGTCCACCAGCTACGAACATCCTACCTCTGTCTTTCCCCAGCGATTTTACTGCCAATCTCAACAAACGTAATCAGGTAATTATGTGACTTCATGCTTAGTTGTAGATACTCAAATGTCTCCTTTTCCAAACACACACACTTACAGCCTAACTGCTGACAAAAATATCTTTTCCATTTGAAACTGAAGACAGACCATTCGAGGCCGTGTCGGTAAAACAGCCTTTGTGGCCTGCTCACCACAGAGCACCAGGCCATCACAGCTTCTCAGTGGCCTCAGAGCTTGCACTTTGCATCTACTGTATGTATTTCTGGAGCCACAGACATCATCAGAGAGCAGATGTTACTATGCAGCTAAGTAGAAAAGTCGGAAAGCTAAAGAGCATGGGTAAGAGACAGCACTTATGTACTACTCGATTTAAGACCTAAAGAAAACTCAAACGAAGAGAGGATTCTTAAAATTGTTTTATCTTGACTTAACCATAGGTGGGGGGTGGGGGGACAGTTGATAAAACAGGAATGTAATGCATACTTGCCTGATATTGAAGAAAAGACTATTTGTGTCTGACACACAGGAGAAATTGTTCCAGACCTGGTCCCACTTCCTTCTCATGTCAGATTGCTCCCTTTGTGCTGCCAATGCTAACACCAGCTTGTCACCAGCTGCCCAAGTTCCAGTTCTACTGGTGGCAGTTTTAATCCTTGACTTATTTTAGAAGTGTTCCTTCTTATGCTGAAAAGTTCATTTGCAGCTGAATATACTTCTATATTTTAACTCAATCATTTCTATTTCAAACCAAAATTAATCCTTGGTATGACTCAAATATTCCAAATACGGAGGTAAATTATAAGAATATAAGACTTTCTTTCAAACAGAAAGAAATGTCATCATTTTAAATGGCATACATGAGAAATTGACTTCTGCGAAGGATACAACACACCCACAGTTAATATTTCTGTTGGTTAGTTGCTTTGGAAGAAAAGCACTCATCAACATTATTTTCCAAAAGAACGAAACCCAAGAAAAGTTGGTAAACACGAAAATATTTTAGGAAAGGAACTTCGCAAACTTGGTTTCACATTTTAGGAGGCAAACATTCAACCCTAGGAAGCATTAAATTGAGATTTGGCTATACATATCCACTTCTTAATTTAAACGTGGAGAAAACACTAATTTTAAGCTTATCTGTTCTACTTCATGATCTCCAATTTTTCAGGTTGCTACTTAATTGTAAAGTTGAACTGCTCTATAAACTTAATTTTAACAAAAAGTATATATTTCACATATATACTTATACATAGCAAAACTTGTGTTTACTATCAAAGTTACTTATGAAATAGATTTCTCAGATGTAAATTCTCTGTTTTATTAAATAAAAAAAGTCTATATACTAAAAAGAGTAATTTAAGTTTGACAATGAAAAGAATAACAATAGTGTTATTTCGGCTATCTTCTCTAGATTGCTGGATTCTGGGGAAGTCACATATTCCAACAGCCCAAAATATAGAGACATGCCATTTATTAATATATATTCATTACATATAAACATAAAAAGCTTTGACAAAAATATTAAATGATTTTGATGCATTCCATCTAAAATGCAGACAACTATACAAAGTCAAGCCAATCATAACCAAGACTTTACTGTCACATTAAAAATCAAAAGCATTAAGCACTGGTTGCTTTTTTTTTAAATCAAGTGTTTTAATTTCCTCTAACTCCCAACATTTGGTATGTGTACACAGGGAAAGAAAGACCTGCCAAATGCTTAATCCATGACAGCAGGTATTATTCTAAGAACTAATGAAAGCTGGGTCTGTCTGCTTCTGAGACAGGTGAAATACAAACTTCAAGACAAGCCAAAATGTGTGCAAACTGCACAATCTAGTTAAGAATTTGAGATTAGCGGCTTTCTCTTTACAGAAGGGATGTAGGTAGAGCTTTTTGTTTGTTTTTATAAGGATTTTGGGAGAAAAAGATATGAGGTGTTAGGAACCAAACTGAAAAGATAAAAGAGCTGAATTTGGCTTTATATAAACTTAATCAAAATCATTACAAAGTTATAGTAGTTCAAAAACAAAATATAATTCTGAAACACTGAGGTCTTACAATAAATGAAAATGAGTTTTTTGACAAATTTCATGTCCCACTTAACAAGGTGATAAAATGGAAAATTTCAAGTTCTTTCCATTTAAAACAAAGTTGATTTAACTTCAAAATCCACAGTCAGATCAGGTAACATAACAGAAATGCTTTATTATTTATTAATTATGATCAAGAAAATGGAAAATTATTATCACTGAATTTCAAATTCTTAGTGTCTAGATTTCTCTTGGAGGCAAGGACGACTCCCAGGGATGGTTAATGTCACTCACCTTTTGAAAAGTATAGATTATTTAAGTAATATCAATAGCTAACACTTACACAGCAATGATCATGTACTGGACACCGTTCTCTGTATGTATCAAATCACTTAATCATCACAACACCCTTACTATAATATTACTGGTCCCATTCCATGAATGAGGATGTTGCCTGAGATAACACAGCTAGTAAGTGGCAACGTTAAAGGACATAGACTTGGTCAGCCCTGCCAACACTCAGTATAGTTTCAACATGAAATCCATAAAAGCTTAGCCTTTTTTTTAATCAAAGTATAAAGGCTTCTGGGATAACAACCCAGAAGAAAACCAGTTCAAGGATTCTCACAGATTAAGAAAGAAAGTATCTCCATGTTCTAACAAAAAATCTCCCAGAGATAACAATGGGACTAACCTTATATCCATTTCTTTTCTATGCTGATACTTCATGTCACAATTTACCTATTCTTTATTTTAAATTCTGATACATTGTGTTGTAGCTGTTACCAAGTTATTTAATATATTTTCATATAGTCCCAGATTTTAGCTTTTAAAGGGTTCAACATTGTCTTTACTTCTCTGGTTTTCCTCTGTACTTAGTGCAAAATGGGTACAAAAGTGTGTTGGTTTATCTGCTAACAGTGGTGCTGGAAACACACTTAGAACTAGAATGCGCTTTCATAAAAAGCTTCATTTCTGTCAATCCTCCGTTTTCCCTTATGACAGGAAGAAATGCAAACAGCTCCAGCTTCCTAGGCAACAGAACATGCCTGCTACTCAGGAATACTCATTAATGAATCCAACTAAAGAGCCTATTAAAGATCTGTGTCCACTGGCTTGTCCACATTAGACCCCATGTCACTCTGCCACCTCCAGATCAATAAGCCCATGAGTCCCACAGAGCTCCATTGGGCTAAGTATTTTCCATATACTGTCTTATCTAACCTTCACAACCACCTTGGGAGATAGGTGTGCTTATCATCCCCATTTACAGAAAAGGCAACTAAGTCTCAGAGGGGTTGAGTGACTTGCCCAGGGTCACGGAGCCTGAAAGTGGCAGAGGAAGAGTGAGACACAGGTGTCCAGTGCCCAGCCTGAGGCTCCTTTGCCACAGCGAGCTAACCACTTTGTCCACCCCTCTGGCTCTGTACTGGTCAACAGGGATAAAGGAGAATGATCCTCTGCACTTCAGCAATGTGTAGAATTAAGTGTATAGCATAATCAAAGAGCGATTGTCCATAAAACCCAAGAATTCTTAGGTTTCCTCATTATGAGATGACCCCTGTAGGTAATAAAGAATGAAAGAGTGTTACATCCATTCTCCTCATGCTCTCCTTAACATTTAATCCTGAGCAAAATTCAAGAAACAAACAACATTAAAAACTGTCCCTTTAAACTTTTAAATTGAGTCACTTCTCAGTGAGAAGTAACCCTTCACTTTTTCATTTCAAACGGTTCATTCAGAGCATGATCAGATGTGTGGATTTCAGTGGCCACATTTGATGGCAAGGCCCCACGGCTTCAGGAGTCTAAATGTGCGTGAGGTGACACAAAGTGATTAACCACAACTAATCAATCTGTTAGTACACGCTATTGCTTTTCAAGTCATCTGCAAATGCCTATTTTTGCTTTAAGGCTAGCTAAGTTATTTATACTTTCATTTTGCTTTTCTGATGGGAGAAAAAGTAAAGGAGTGCGTCTAACTGTGCTACATGAATTCCATACACAGGGTTTGTTTTTGCCTACACCACCCACCATCACTACCCCACCAACCTGGCCCTGCTCTCCTGCATGCTCCCCTCCAGGTGACTGTGGCCTCTCCACACTGCCCATGCTTCCCAGTTTCAAAATGCACAGCTGGCCTTACCACTGCTAACCAACCAGTGTGCCTTTCTTTTCTAGAAAGAACAACTCAGCCTCAGCATCAAGCTCTTCTTCACAGTGTTTATCTGTTCCTGGTTTGTCCTCTGCTATCCCTAAGTAGGTTGTTTCCAGCTGTTCCTGACCTTAGTAGTATACCTCATACAAAGGCTAGATTCAAAATAATATGGCAACCCAGAGAAGCAAGGCCTCACGGATTTAAAATGTCTTAGGGTACCGTGTTCAACTTCATCATATGATTCAATCAATCACCTGATCTCATCTAAACCTTTAGTTGTGGTGGTTTCTCTATCTGTAGTACCCAGGCAAGCAATGTCACACTGACTGGGGTCGTGTTAGAAAGAACAATTCCCAGATCCCTGAACCAGCCTTCTGTGTCTTAACAGGGCCTGAGTGATTCTGATGCACACTAAAGGCTGAGAGTCTGAAGTCTGTAAGCATCCAAAATTGCTGATGTTGACCACCACCACTGCCCCCCACCCCGAGTTCACACGTAATAAAATACGTCCCTCTCTCATCCTACTTCATGCAATCTACTAATCCTATTCTTTTACTCATGGCCTTCAATAATCAGGGACTGCAGCTGATAATTTGGGAAATTTTCCAATGCAGCCAATTTGAAAAATTACTCTAACATTTACTTTGACCTAAGCATAAAAACATAAGGCCTGTGCCACCATCAGATTCCTCCTAATGGTTTATTCTCGAATTATACGAATCTCTTAAAATTGAGGACAGCAGCCTATTAAAGTTGAATACAGTAAGGATAAACACACTTACAGTCCCACAATATGCAGAGAGCTCACATTTCCCCTGGACTAGGAAGAGAACTAATTTCTGATTATGCTTTGTGGCTGTGTACTTTCCCGCTATAGTGTCAACCATGTTTCCTTCTATCAGTTCACGGATCTCTCTCCTAAACCTGTTTTCTCTCTCAAACATTGTTTCAATGATAAATTCCTCCCATTAACTATGATTTGCCAAGTGGGCCTTCTATTGTCTTTTTGTGTCATAATAAAATCTGCTCTTACAATTTCAAATACCACAAAAACATCTGCAGCTTATCTGGCAGTCCTAGGTTCTTGTTGCATCGATTTGCAAATCTCTCATCCTTCTTGTCTTCTGAAGTCTGCTAGTTCCTTAACAAGGGACACCTAAATGGAGATCTGCTTCTCTGCCTTTTCCAGTAACACTAACAGTACCAGGTGCTTGAGAATGGTTGCCATCTACACATCCAAACTCGCCCTGTCACTGTCACTGGGTCCACCATCACTGCAGCGCATAGCCGTGCTCCCTCCTCCTCTGGACTAGACACAGATGCTGCCTGTTAACACCACCCTCACCTCCAGTCTCAGCCCACCTTGTCCCCCTAAGAGTGGATCGCAACACTTGCGTGGTTTTGAGCATCACTTCTGACATGCCTGACACGCCACCTCACTCTTCACAAGTGCAGCGATTTCTGCTCAGCTAGCTCATTTTCTAGGTTCACTCGATACACAACAACATCACTAATTCCTCTCTAGCCACCAAACATCTCTCAGCTCATCCCAAATATCTGAAACACAGTATGGGCATCTCTCTGCCAAGCTATTCCTTTTAACAGATATTAAGGCGTTAGGTTAATCTAGCCTGAATAAATATAGGTCTTTCTCTAAAACCAACACTTTGTACTATACATAACCTACTCTAAAACTCTCTGCTCCGTAGAATATGCATTTCTTTCTCGATTATTACAGCAGCTTATGCATATGGACATACGTATACATATGTACTTTCATAATTCCATTTATTTTCATATAATTACAAAATGTAGCATTAGCTCTTGGATAAGGGTACAGAAGGTGCTAAACATATCTACTGTTACTTCTTCAAGTCTAAAAGTCAAGGCTCTCAGATTATGAGTTAAAAGAAAATTAACTTTTTTTCTTCAAATAATGTTGGCATTTAGATGCCAAATTCTTTCCTGTTGTGTTTCCATTTGCCCCAATTACACATTTTTAAAACAACGTACCAACAATTAGAATAAACAGATAATCCTAAAGTATTAATGTAAACATTCATAAAACAGATCAGAGCATACGGGCCACTGTAAAGGTTTTTTTTTTTTTCTGTATAGCATGAATTTATATACATGTATATATCTGAAAAACGTTCTTTAAAAAATTAAGTTGTACATACTTAGCACATCAAAATTAATATATAAAACTATTGTTTCTTTTAAGGAAAGGAGAAATGGTGAAGACAACGACAAAAGCAGCAAACCTAAAAGTTTCAGCTCCATAAAATATATGGTTGCCTATTAGAAAGGAAAACCTCCAGGTATAAATTTTTCATTCAAGTTTGCCAACAATCAGCTTGGTTTTTATTGTTCTCTGTAATTTCTGAATTAAGTGACTTCATGGTGAGTAGGACTTTCTTATGAAACACATTACATCATAAATTAACCCGAATCATGTTACAGCTTCGCTTGCACAGGCTGCTGCGTTATCGGAGAATGTGGGAAGTGTGCACCACAGCTGAACACTGTGAGTGCAGGGGAGCCACCAGTGCTCACCAGCAGATAAACAGCACAATGGGTTGGCAGGCTCACAAGCCCAAAGACACATTCTTCCCCGGATTCTGATTTGTTATCTGCGTTTCAGTGGAAAACACACTCAGGAGGACGGCAGCAGAGGAAGCATGTGGCCGCTGCATGCGAGCAACCCCACCAGCCTGCGCCCGCTTCCCATTGAGTCACCCACCTCATAGCCTTTCTCCAGCAGGAACTCAGCCAGGTAGGAACCATCCTGGGGAGAAAGAAAAAATTGCAAAACGTCAGTCTCATAGTGGTATAGAAAGGTGGTCTAGATGAAGAGTTTTGAGAAAAGCATTTAAAAGGCTACCTAACTTAAGGACAATGGCAACCTAAAATAAAAATAACACCAATAATGTCAATAAATACCACATGGTGTTCCACTATACACAAAGCATTTTCACAAACAGTATTCATTTGAGCTCCACAGAAGACAGAGGATGAAAATGAAATCCAGGAAAGTGATATGCATCAACAGACAGCATGAAGTTCCAGAATCAGATGGATTTGGGTTTAGGTTTTGCCACTTACCAGTTGTGTGAAACATGCAGAATATGGGGGCAGAATGCCTTGGTGTCATAGCAACATAAAGCAGAAATCTTAGTAATTCTGGGGGGTCATTAAACAAGATCACTGGGGGTCAGGCACAGTTGCTCACACCTATAATCCTGGTACTTTGGGAGGTCAAGGCAGGAGGATTACTTGCATCCAAGAGTTGGAGAATAGCCTGAGCAACACAGTGAGACCTTAGCACTGTTAAAACAAAACAAAACAAAACAAAACAAAAAATTGGTGGAGATGGGGTCTCACTATGTTGCCCAGGCTGGTGTCAAACTCCTGGACACAAGTGATCTTCCCACCGTGGCCTCCCAAACTGTTGTATTACAGGTGTGAGCCACCATGCCCAGCCCAAAACATCTTTAAAAATTAGCCAGTCTTGGTGGCTCGTGCCTATGGTACCAGCTACTTGGGAAGCTGAGGTGGGAGGATCACTTGAACCTGGGAGTTCGAGGCTGGAGTAAGCCATGATTGCAAAACTGCACTCCAGCCTGGGTGGCAGAGGGAGACATTGTCTCCAGAGGGAAAGAAAAAAAAAATCACTGGGGAAGGGGATAAGATGGGAACTAGGTGGGTTGGGGATATAGAAGGGCTAGTGTGGAGAGGAAAAGACTCCATGGTAGAATAAAGAAGGCCAGGGGGATGTGGAGGAAGGTGAGTACCTTTGGAGGGCTGGCCTTTCCAGGCAATGGCCACAGCTGGCTGCTAACCCTAAAGGTTCTGGAAAATCACTGAAGGCTTGAAAAGGTTTTAAGGTGGCAGGGAGCAGGGATGGGGATCAGATTTGTATTATTATGCACACATACAAATGAACTTTTAAAAAAAGAAGATATTCTCTTTTTTTATAAAATCGTATTTCCTTTGTATTAATCTTAAATCATATAGCTAATTCCTGCCTTAAAATGAAGGTGTCTGACAAAATACAGAGATTCTCAACTGGTTCTTAATAATTATTTTTAAAATTTCTGGGTAGGGGTCTTCATTTGACCTAAAATATTTCATGTGCCACTTTTAGAGGGAAAGTATGAGAGACATATAATTAAACTATTTAATAGGTCAAAAGTTCAAAAATCACCATTCTGTAGGTGCTATAAAAAGTCACCAGCCTCTCTCAGAAAATAAATTGGTTAGACATTTTGCAGTCGATCCCATAACTGCTCCTCTGCTTTCTGCCCAACTAGAGGGTCCCCATCCATCTCATTCAGACGAAAAGATAAAAATGGGAAGCTCCAACCACTGGAAATTCGTGTCCTCAGAAGTGGTTGGGGACGTTTGGGTTTTCTTCGGTTTCTTCAATTTGAACAGGCTTTAAATATCCCTTAGAGCTTCAAAAGCTCCTACCAGATATTCCAGGGGGAAAAAAAAACAAAAAACCTTTTTCTTATTACTTGACCAAAAGCTGGAATTGGAAACACCCTATGGGTCCTGAAAATGAAAGGACTGCCAAGTGTGTGTTTACTACATTAATGCAGAAGTCATGCATAAATTCAGGCAGAATGACAAGGCAAAGCATACAAGGGACACATTCTGTGGTTCATTAAAACCTAGAGCAGATTTTCTTCTTCTTCTTCTTTTTTAAGATGGAGTCTCGCTCTTTCACCCAGGCCGGAGTGCAGTGCTGTTATCGTGGCTCACTGCAACCTCTGCCTCCGGGTTCAAGCGATTCTCGTGCCTCAGCCTCCCAAATAGCTGGGATTACAGGTGCGTGCCACCACCCCTAGCTAATATTCATATTTTTAGTAGAGACGGGTTTTCACCATGTTGGCCAGGCTGATCTGGAACTCTAGACCTCACGTGATCTGCCTGCCTGGGCCTCCCAAAGGCTGAGATTCAGGCGTTAGCCACCATGCCAGGGCTAAAATCTCCAGCAGATTTTCTTCTGACTTCTTGAGGTAAATATTCTAGTTTATAGATTCATGTGCAGAAGAGAAAATGTTTGGCATATTCTTTTTTAATCCCATTCTTACAATTCTTACCGTTTTTACATATCTAAAATATATGTCAGATAATGACACTGACCATTATCTAAGTTAGATAATGACACTGACCAATTCAGACCATGACAAGCCAAGTCGGGCTACACAACCACTGAAAATGTTATTATAGGATAATCAATATCCCTATAAATCAATCAATGAGAAAACAGCTTAATAGAAAAATATTTGCAATAAGACTAATAATTTGGCAGTAGGTTGGAAAGCCCTGTAAAGTATGAAGTTTGGACTTTGTTTTGCTATTATTGTTTTGAAGCAGGCAACACTATACTTCTAATCATTCTCTTGGAATAAAAAGTTTGAATGCTTTGTGTTCTACCATAGCTACATTAAATGTTTAAAAAAAAAAAAGCCAGAGGTAAACGTGCTAGAGATCCCTGAGGTGGCAAGAGCTGTGATTATTTAGAGAGCTGATGTGAAACAGACCTGACCAGGACTGAACCCTGTCAATAAGGTCTTGTTCTTCTCACCCAGGCTGCTTCTCAGACTTTCCAACCACACTGGAACATTCTGAACCAGTAGTGGCACCGGCTTCCTCCTCACTTCCTTGCCAGGCCTCTCGAGTGATAGGGCCTGGGCCGCACAATGAGTGGGAAACGAGCCGAGCGAGGGCTCCTGGTCCCCAGCCCAGGGGGCCCAGCTGGCCGCCCCCTCGTCCTTTCCCCAGGCCCCTGGGGGACTCCAGGAGAGACGTGGTATCTGAGCAGGCAGACGTCCGCCAAGCCAACAGGATGGTGGTTTCCGCCTCCTCTTGAAGCACAGAGCTGATAAAGAATGCTCCAATCAGACTAATGACTGAAATGTCACAGCAAATGAGAACCTACAACCACCATTAAGTTCTGACGCTTGACTCCTCTGAAACAAGGAACAAACAGACTAAATCTGTAACTCATTCAGTATGAACACAATTATTCTGGTATAAAGTCCTGCCTAGGTTCAATCCTTGTTACAGAAAACTCTTTAGTTGTAAAGATAATGTCCCAATATGACCCTTTTAAGTTTAATTTTACACGTGGGCTATTAAGGGTATCTATTTTATATTAAATGCCATACTATTTTGAGCAATCACCATGGCTTTAACATTTTCAAGACACAGAAATATTTTCCTTTTTTTTTTTTTTTGAGACAGAATTTCACTCTTGTTGCCCAGGCTGGAGTGCGATAGTGCAATCTCGGCTCACTGCAACCTCCATCTCACAGGTTCCAGTGATTCTCCTGCCTGAGCCTCCTGAGTAACTCAGATTACAGGTGCCCACCACCACACCCAGCTAATTTTTTGTATTTTTAGTAGAGACAGGTTTCACCATGTTGGCCAGGCTGTTCTCAAACCCCTGACCTCAGGTGATCCACCTGCCTCAGCCTCTCAAAGTGCTGGGATTATAGGTGTGAGCCACCCATCCTACTCTCGCAAGAACTAAGCTAGGAAGGTGGGCAGATATTTGGCATCTCGGGTAACTGAGGCACAGGGGGGTTAGCCAACTTTTCTAATATCACACTAGTTACAGACAAAGCCAGGACTAGAATCCTAGCCACCCACTGTTTTGAAGTAGAAAATAATCTCCTTCCTCCCACTCCTCTACCTGGCACCAAAACATGTCAAAACCCAACAAAATAATAAGAGACCATAAAAGATACATTTTCAAACCAAGTTGATGTAGTCATTTTCCATTACAGGGTATTTTATGGATGAAACAGTGCTTCCAGTTCTAATCAAGTGACCCAAATGCAGAGAAGTCATGTAATTTTAGAACACTCCAGAGCTCAGAGGAGGGAGAAAGGATACAGCACCTGAGATTTTCCCGGTCTGGGTTTTTGGGGGACTGGCACTGCCCATGCAGTTGTTCAGTGTTGTTTGGAGGTGGATTTAGATTGCTGGTGGTTGTAGGTCCAGCTTTGGGGCCAAAGGGCAGGGCACCAGGGTCCCATGGGGCCAGGTTTCAGTGTTCCTGACGCCTATCCTGTTCTTCCGAGGGGATGGACCCTCACTTTTCATGAAGTACTCAGAAATGTTCCAGACAGAGTTATGTAAAAATTAAAGACCAATTCCAGAAATTCACAGAATCATGTTTTGACTACAGTATGACAACTACCTAAAATTCCACAACTATGAAAAGCTGAAAGAAACACAGAAAGTTTCTGTGTTTCTCAATGACCACAGATGGCTAAAAAAAAGACTGATCTCACATCCACACATCCCCCACACACACCCCATCCCAACACCTATGTACGAGGGCAAGCCATCCTCCCGCAACACAGGAAGACTAGCATTTTTCTCCTCTCTTCCAATACAGATGAATAAGTAGCCCAGACAGACAAACGAAAAGGGAACTTTCTTACATGCAATGTGAGAACCTGGCCCCTCTGAACTGCATGCTAAATCATACTGTATGTTTCTACTTAAGCACCCTGTGGCGGCTTCTTTGAACAGGATACGGTCATGGTACTGGGCTAAAGAAACCACACCACTAATAAAACGAATCTCTTTGTTTAGATCATCTCAGGCATCAGGAAATAGAATAACCCCTTCTGCAAGAAGAGAAAGCACTCGTTTGCACTGCCTTTTTATGTTCTTTAACTCCATGTTGTCTAATTACTCCTAAGGCATCTTCCCAGCTAATCGGAATTACAATATCAAGGTAATCTGTGCCTCCAATAAGCAAAACACAAACACTTCAATGATTAACAAATGATGCTGTTTTGAATGAGAATGAAAACTTCCAATGATTTAACCACTGCTGTGAAGAATACGGAGACAGAATATAATAGAAAGGTGTTTATACCTAGGTCATGTTTGTAACACAAATCATTGGACAAAATCTCTGTCAGACTCACAAAATTCAAAAGACCATGGGGATTAATTAATCCAACCCTCTCATTTTACAGATCAGGAAATGGAGATTCAAAGCAGGTAAATGTTTATTGTACAGTCACAGTTAGGAAGTAGCAGAACCTGCAACCAAAAAATAAAAATGAAAACCAGGTCTCTGGACTCCCAGACCTCAGAATTTTGCACTAAAAAATACCGGGGAAATATCTAAAATGAAGAGGCTGGACTAATGACTACAATTGAGAACCCGGTAAAACAGACAAATGGAATTACCAAAGTGAAGAACAAAAATAGAGCCAATAATTATCAATAGAGCAATAATTAACTAATTAGTAGAAAGGAAATGAGGATACCATCAATATTTAAAACACAGAAATAACTCCCATCTCCTATAGTCTTCAAAGGTGAAAAATATTTCCCCATAAAAGCTGCTGTCACCAAAGAACCAACTTTCCCTTCCTTTGATTTACCTCCTGATACAGAGAAGCACTGCAATCCAGCAACATGATCAATAACCTCTGAATAATGAAGAATCGTTTATGTCCAGCAGCTAAGATACTCTTTACATAGCCACCCCTTCCCTCCTTTCAAGGGCAATAGCCTCGCAAACAGGTGCTCAGTGGTTGCACATACACCTCAAACCTATCAAGAAAAGAGAGCCGCTCTGTGGCCAGACACAATACCTTCTAGTATTGGGTGATGAGTGTAAGGCTAACCAAGTATCAGCATTTCAGAAAGAGGCCAGAGGCTTTCAATCATCCTTGATATTGGTCTACCATGGCACAGAATTCTCTCCCCCAAAACACACTCAGTTTCAGTACATTGCAATGTTATGTTATGTCCATGATTAGTTTGATAAGAAAAAAAAGATTTACATATAAAAAATATCAAACAGGGAAGAAATGCCCTAAAAGATTAATTTAAAAAAAAATACTTTCCCCAATGTGATAGGTTTTTAAAA
This sequence comes from Homo sapiens, assembly GCF_000001405.40. Taxonomy (NCBI): domain Eukaryota; kingdom Metazoa; phylum Chordata; class Mammalia; order Primates; family Hominidae; genus Homo; species Homo sapiens. The sequence continues at coordinate 2,130,858 of NC_000006.12, forward strand.
AATGGTACAGACGTGTTTTTTCATTTTTTGACTGGTAGTAACACTACAGAGTTTTTGGTGTTTGTGGCCTTAATTTTTTTTTCAGGGAATTATATATACACTTTACCTATTTTTCTAGTAGGCTGTGTTTTACCAATTGGTTTGTTCTTGGAAGTATCAAGAACATGTACAAAATTGACTAATTTTCACCTCCAATAAAAGCCACTCAAAAACTGATATTTTGAAGCAGGCTAGCAAATCTTCAGTCTCTTTTATATTGCAAATGATTATTGTAAACCCTTAGTATAATATTAGAGCAAGGAAGAACGCAAATACAATGTGAACTCAGGAATTCACATCTTTGCACAACCCAACATGTGTAATAATACTACTTTCAACATACTAAAATAATTTTCTATAATTTAGGCAAACTCTATAAGAAAAATGAGACTAAAGGGTTTAAAACAAGCAGGTACAAAGGAAGCAACTGTTGGTAAGGTATAGAAAGATTAATTTTTAATTAAATGATTAGGAGAAAAACAGCACACACACACACAGATACTCCAATAAATACAGTCCCAGAAATGCTGGAGAAGCCTCAAAGGGACAACCAGTCCCCAACTTACGATGGATCCACCTACAATTCTTCAACTCTATGATGGTATGAAAACGGTACACATTCAGTACACTCCTCAACTTACAATGGAGTCCAAGATAAACCCATAATACATTGAAGATACTGTAAATCAAAAATGTACTTTTGATATTTTCAACATACGAAGGATTTATAGGGACAGACCCCCACTGTAAGTTAAAGAACATCTGTAAATCCAAAGGCATCTATTAACAGCCTACGTGTGTGCTAGGTGGTACATAATATATAGATACAGCAAGGGTGAGTCCACCTGCTCATCACTACGTGAATACAAGCATGCCCAAGGCATACAGTATCTCACTGGTTTTCCTTTTTTTTTTTTTTCTTAACGTAAGCTCCTTTTATTTGAACCTCTATTTTCCTCTCCCTCCCTCCATCCCATTCTTGCCACTCATACTGAAGTTTTCATCCATCAGAGAAAAAAAAATCTTCATATGGCCTACTATCACTACAAATGATGACAGCAGTACTAAGAAGGATAGTGAGCACTTGTACAGCACTTGGTATATGCCCAGTATGCACTAAGTGCTCTGCATTCAGTATCTTTTTAACTCTTCATAATAACCCCATGTCATTGGTACTGTTTTCATCTCGATTTTACAGATGAGGAATCTGAGGTGAATTGAGAGGTAATAGCTCAGGGTCTAATAGTTAGTAGGTAGAACAAGGATTTAAACTATGTCTACTTGTAATACATTATTTATATGGCAATTTGCTTCACTAATAGGATCGATCCCTCTATAATGGATCCTATTAGAATGGAAAATGATGGGCCTAGAGATATTTTCACATAAAATATGGCTTCTATAGAATGTATTAATAATGACTATCAAACACCCATTTGGACCATAGGTGTTATGGGATGGAGGAGGACAGGAAGGAAATAAGAAATTTAGTCCCTGCCCTATTGCTCTGAGAAGTATCTGGGAAGCCAGGCATTTCCTGGTCTAGATAGGATTATGTTTCAACATTGGCTAGGACCTCCAGATTTCACACACATCCACCCACATGTGGACAGCATGAGAATAATAACCAGGTAACCTGTACAGCTAATCAAAATGTTCTTGCTATCAGAGAACACCAGTAGATGCATGAGTCATGGACAGAAGGTGGCAAGGCTTTGTGGATGAAAGAAAAGCTATGAAATACTACCACACTGACCTCTTCTATACTGGATGGCACAGTGCCCTGGAAAAATAAATCACCACACGAGCATGAAATCAGGATTGGGAAAATACACAGGAAATACAAGAAGAATATCCCTATCAGATCCTTTTAAAGATCTGCCTAACCGGACAGTTCAGTGCTGATGTGAGTAACTCCTTTCAAGTTTACAATATACTAGCTGAAAGTTTTTAGAACCAGGGTTCCAAATACATTAATAAAGATTTGTACAGGTGTGTAGGGAAGTTAATAATAAATTAACAGTGAACTTCACACTGAAATAATAACTTCTTTGCAGTAAATAGCTACACATATTAAAAAATTAAAACTGATGAAAAATAAAATTAGAGTTCCTCTCTCCTCCCTTTCTCACTATCTCTCAAAGTGACAGGCCATACAATTAAAGGCTGTTTCTTTGCAAAGTCCATGCTTTGCAGTTCTAATCACTCGAGTGATTTATAGAGGAAATGATGTTTTGCAGGTACTCTAAAACAGAGCTGCACTTTGTCCAGTGTGCAAGGCCATGCTTAATGAAAAACTTTAAATTTGGAAGGAAAAAAACTGCAGTAAAAAGAGAAGAATTATGAAATTTTAGTATTTACTTGATTTATTAATGTTTCCTTGTGCATTTCTTTTTATAATTTGTGTCCTGGCTAAGGCAGGAAGGCAAAACAAATGTCCTTTTGTTTATGGCTTTAAAAAGGTCATAAGAATAACAAAAGGATACATAAATACTGATGACTATATCTTTCCCTATTTCACTGTACATTAATTTAACAGTCTGCTACTGAAATACTGCTGTTGGTTAAGCACAGAGTTAACTATTTAAAAATATTCTTGTCTTTTTAACCCAATTTCTTTCAAGGATATAATTAATCCAGTTAAGACCGTTCTTAAAATATGTGCAGGTCATGATAGAAATGTCACTTGTCAACTCTCTGATGCATTTCAGATCTGCTCTGCCACTATAGAGTTCCAGACAGACAGGAAACATTGTAAATCACTGAAGAAACATACAAGTTAAGAACTGTGATTTTGTTACTTAAAATTACTGAAAAATAGACAAAATTCAAGCATATATCAGGAGCGTAAATGTAGAAATCTGTAAGCATTTACCCAGAAAGGTGCAGATCATTAAACTAATAAAGCTAACTCATATTCAGTGCCCAAGGATATATCAAATTTTGTAAAAACAACTTTAAGTCACCGGAGGCAAGGAGAGCTCCAAGTTAGCACAAAGAATGTTGATTTCACCGGGGTGTGGTGACTGGGGATAGGCACACCTGGCAAAACTCCATTCTGTGGGCTACTAAATCTCTGTATTTGTTAGGTTGTGCTATATTGTGTATTTCGGTTCTGCCACCCAAAGAAGGTATCCAAAATAACTTGTGGTGGGCGTGGAGGAATCACATATTAAAAGTCCCAAAGTCTGTGCCTCCTTCATGCTTGTGCAGCTGTCTTCCAGTGTCACTGCCTTGTAGACTGCACAATCATGGTGTGATTCTAGATAGCTCAGCTCCACCACAGAAATAAAGGGGATAAAATGAACAGTTGGCGAGATACTGAGACTGCAGTTTGAACCTCTATAGGACTAATGCTTTTAGGTTGTTCTTTATTTTGTTGCTTTGCTTTCTTTTGCCAACAGCAGCGGGGGCTTAGCTCTTATTCAACCATATACTTTTTAAAATCTCTACTCAGTGGTACTGATAGAAAACATTTTCAAGATTCCACTGAAAAAGACCAGAGCTTTGTAAGGGTAGTGGAGTTCTCTAGGTGGAAAAATAACTTCCTCGCCTAATAGGGATTGGACACCACCACCCACATCTTGGTCTCAATAGCACCAAACTTTAAATTGCCAATCTAGCCAGGCCCTTATGCTAAGGCCGAAGTGAGTCTTACCTTCAGTGTAGAAGCTGAAAAGCAGGTAGGTGTCTCTGATTCAGTCTAGCCTGACCACATGCACTTTTTGGTCTAATCTTAAAATACTTAAATGTCTAACAACTACTTCTGTTTCCCAGCTATTCTCTCCTAATATTTATGATATATCTTGGCTATTTGACAGTAGATTTGAGTCATATAGTTAAGTCATATAGTTAAGTCAACTATTTGAGTCATATAGTTAAGCTATCAACTTTCTATAGACATAGTTTGCCTTATACTATAACATACATTCTTCAACCTTACACTATACAGCAAAGTATTTATTATTGTTTCTATCAAAATAATATCTTACATTCCTGTAATTTCTTATAGTTGCTAAGTACTCTTTAGATGTTTTTTCCCATTTATATCTCACAACATCCTGGTGAGGTAGCTGATATTATCCTCATTTTTCCGGATCAGAAAATTGAAGAAAGCATAAATCCCTTGTTCAAGGTCATAGAGCTAGTTAGAGAACTTGGCAGAATATGAAACCAATTTGTTTAATTCTAATTACAGTGTTATGTCCACAATACCTCTCCCTCAATCAAAATAAAAACGTTTCAACCAAAATAAGATGCCACAGCAGTTTTTTAAAGAAATTAATAAATTTATATAAAAACCCATATACAGTTTAGCACAAAATAATATTTCAAATTTAAGTATCTTCAATTATCCTTGCAATAATCCACTATCAAAAGCCATTGCTTAAACTAATCCCCCCTTTAAGTATACTAAACAACGTGCTACTGTGTGTATTTGTGTATCCGTGAGTGAGTGTGTGCATGCTTGCCTGAGCTCATTTAAAGGGATACCTTTATCCTGAGGTTTAAAAACAGTGAGGTCTGAATTTTCATTGTTAAAAGCAGATCATGGAGCAATCAATCAGCTAATAACCATCTATTAATATCTGATGTACTATGCAACATGACAGAGTAAATGAAAATAAGAATAAGATGCATTTCCTACATTTGAGTTTCTATAATCTAGCGAGAGGACAAGGAAACAACACATCTACCACATCATCATCATCATCATCATCATCATCATCATATTAGCAATGACATTAATGCCGACATTCATTCACTACATACTTCTCACATTTTAGGCCAGCACTGGCCAACAGAAATATAATGTGAGCCACATATGTAATTTTTAATTTTCCAGTAGCCAAATTAAAAAAGGTAAAAAGAAACAGATAAAGATGAATTTTATTTAACACATATATCTAGAATGTTTTATGCACATGTTAATAAAAAATTATCCAGATATTTTACATACTTTTTCATATTAAAGTCTCCAAAATCCAACGCAGTCAATGAATTACATAACAACGGGGAAACATTCTGAGAAATGTACCATTGCATGAACATTACAGTATACTTGCACAAACCTAGGTAGTAGAGCCAACTACATACCTAGGATATATGATATAGTCTTATGGTGCCTAGGTTGCAACCTGTACAGCATGTTACTGTACTGAATACTGTAGGCAACTGTCGCACTATTGTAAGTATTTGTGTATCTACACAGAAAAGGTACAGTGAAAATATGGTATCTTATGGGACTACCATTGTGTATGGTCCCTTGCTGACCCACATGTCATTATGCAGCACATGACTATATTTTACACTTATGGCATATCACAATTCAAATGTAAATTTTCATCAGAAATACTTGATCTGTTTTAGATTTCATAAAACTGATCATTGAAAAAGTAAATTCATGTACCCAACCTGTACCAAATATACTTAAAAGTTTTCTCATAACGAAATTGAGTATCCAAAAAATCATTTTCCTTTAATTTTCACAAGTACATTGACAAAACTGGTTCACTTTTGTTTAAAAGAACTGATTTGGGCCAGGCGTGGTGGCTCCTTCCTATAATTCCAGCACTTTGGGAAGCCAAACCAAAGCCAAAGTATGGCTTGAGGCCAAGAGCTCAAGGCCTCCCTGGGCAACATAGTGAGACCCCATCTCTACAAAAGATTTTTAAAATAATATTTTTTTAATTAGCTGGGTGTGTCCCAGCTGCTCAGGAGGCTGACACAGGAAGATTGCTTGTAGTCCAGAAGGTCAAGGCTGCAGTGTGCCATGATCACACCACTGCACTCAACCTGGGTGACAGAATGAGACCATGTACCAAAAAAAACAAAGAAAATGTTTGTTATTTTAAAGTAAACTGGGCATGGTGAGGCAGGCCTGTAGTCCTAGCTACTTGGAAAGCTGGGACAGGAGAATTGCCTGAGCCCAAGAGTTCAAGACTGCAGTGAACTATGACCAGGCCACTACATTCTAGCCTGGGTGACAGAGTGAGACTTCATTTCAAACAAAAAAAAAAAAAAAAAAGAAAGAAAAACTGATTTGACTTTGAAGTATAAGCATATCAGTTTCAAATCCATATCGGTTCAAGTTAAGTAAGCTAATTAACTCTTGTGTCAAGTCAGTATTAACACTGGATTCAAAGGAATATTTGCATAAATTGGAAAACAACTCTAAATTTATCAGTATCAACAAAGAGCTCTTCAAATTCTAGTTTTTGTAGCCAATATATATAATGGTATTTATAATTAAAATCTTCTGCACATTAATCATTACTATTGACTTATATTATGAAAACCTTCAATTTCAACATGAATTCTAATATCTGCCTAGCTAGTTGACAAATTACCTTGTCCTTTCCTGAGACTTTCAAATTAGTTCATTCAAAAGTAGTGTGATCTGAGTCAGAAAACATAAACCATACTGCTATATTCCCTTTTTTTTTTTTTTTTTTGGATGGAGTTTTGCTCTTGTTGCCCAGGCTGGAGTGCAATGGCACGATCTTGGCTCACTGCAACCTCTGCCTCCCCGGTTCAAGTGATTCTCCTGCCTCAGCCTCCCGAGTAGCTGGGATTACAGGCATGCGTCACCATACCCGGCTAATTTTGTATTTTTTAGTAGAGACAGGGTTTCTCCATGTTGGTCAGGCTGGTCTCAAACTCCCGACCTCAGGTGATCCACCCACTTTGGCTTCCCAAAGTGCTGGGATTGCAGGTGTGAGCCACCGCGCCCGGCCCATATTCCCTTTTTAAGTACTGAATACTTGGGCAAGTGCCCCTTTTTGTTTCAACAAAAGATCATCTTTGGTTGGAGTAAATATTATGCTATAGAAATCTGTGTAAAACTCGTCCAGGACTCCACCAACAAGTGCTGCTAAAGATCACAAGGTCACTGCCTTCACTGTCTTCCATTTCTTTCTGCAGGTCCATAAACCAGCAATGATCTATGAATTTACACTTATAGACTGGATAATTTTAACTACTAGTATGTGTCACACTTTTTGCCAAGTTAACTACTGTATTGTACTCTGTCCAGCTTCAGAATACAGTCGAATGAAGCAATAAGAGAAATACCAGCCTCTTGAAAAATTCCAATAAATACAGAATTCGGTCTAAGAGAGCTGGGTCAACTGTAATAGAAATTAATTTTTTCATATCCATCTGAAATTCTTTGAAACAGTCAAATGTTTGAATTGAATGTTCTTAAAACATTCAAAAATATCTCTGCCACAAATCTGTTATTTTTGGCAAAAAAAATTACAACATTTATTTATAAATCTTAAAGTCTGTATTAATCGGACAATGGATCATCATACTGTATAACTTACACAAAGCTAAAGGAAAGTAATTGAAATGTTTCAAATTTCAAATGGGTCATGTAGTCTATAGGCAACTGTTTAGTGAAAAATATCTTTAAGTTTTTGTGAAATATATTTTTGTCTCTTCTCATAATTTTCTAATAAAATTTTGGTACCTGCAATAATTCCTTCTGCCATCTCTCCATCTTAAACTGGCTTCCTCTATAGTGCATGAATCCAAGACACTGTATAGGTGGCCAAAGTTACAGGCTCATACTCTGTTAAAATTTTTAAACTTAATGAACATTTGATATAGTTTAGATTTCTGTCCCTCCAAATCTCATGTTGAAATGTGATCCTCAATGTTGAAGGTGCGGTCTAGTGGGAGGTGTTTGAGACAGGGGGACAGATCCCTCATGAATGAGTGTTACTGCCATGCTAACATCTGCAGAACTGAGAGCCAAATAAGCCTCTTTTCTTTATAAGTTACACGGTCTCAGGTATTCCTTTACAGTAATGCAAAACGGACTAATAAAACACTAAATTCTGCTTTCAGGCAATTACTTCCATCAATTCTTCATTGACCTTTGAGAAAAAACTTCTCATCAAATCTACCACAGATTTCTTGAAAATGTCTTAATATTGCCCATTTCATTTTCTTTACATTTTTTATACAATTGCAAATGAGATTCATCATGAAGTCCCTAGTCTCTTTGTGTTCCCACTGCTTTGATCATACTACTAATTTCTGTATCTGTACTCACTCCGCAACAGTAGTATGCCTTCACTTCAAATTTAAAAACTGTCCATATTTATTTACTAACAAGTGATGTAGTTACCTTAATTTTATATATCACTTAAACATTTCTGGGGGATGAGGGATAAAAATCTACATGTCAGGTACCATGTACACTACTTGGGTGACAGGTACACTGAAATCTCAGATTTTACCACCATACAATTCACCCACGTAACCAAGAACTTCTTGTACCCCAAAAGCTATTGAAATAAAAAATTTAAAACAAACATTTCAATTTAATTACTAATGATAATGTACTTGCATCACTATAAGCTGCACTGTCTGCACAAAATATTTAATAAATACTATAAAGTGAGAACACAGAAAAAGTATATACTGAATAAATTATTTGACACCAGCAAGATTGGTAGTGTGTTTATGTATGCTAATGTAGTCTTACCAAAACAAGAAAACTGTGTTTAACAGAAATATATCGTGCACTGCTTCCATCTTAAAAATCCAGTTCCTCGGGTACGCTAGTCACACTGAACTGCTCGACAGACACATGTGGCTTATAGCTATTGTTCCTGATCATACGATGAGAGGCTGTGTTCATGGCAGTCTGTATTTATTAATTGTGGTAATTCTCACAAGGAAGAGAAGTCTTTACTCTAATTATCCCCACATTACAGACAATGGAATTTAGGCAAAAGTAATTAAGTGACTTACCCAAAGTCACAAAGCTATTAACTGGGGAACTGGGATTTCAACCCAGACAGTCTGACTCCAGAGACTCTTATCCACTATTCCACACCGCCAGAAGTTCAACAACAGCACAGGGTTTCATGAGAGATGAGGCAAGAGATGCAGAGTGTGTTAAAAATATATATATAAACCAAACTACTTTGCAATGAAAAGAAGGAAGCCAGAACTCACAGGAAGACGTCGTGAAAGAGGGAGAAAGACTTGAGCTGCGTAGTCCAAGATAAATGCTGCAGATAAACAGCCCAGGCAGCTGAGCGCAGGAGGAGTAGGTGTGCGAAGCGCGAGCAAAGTGTGTTTAGCCATGAACAGGTAAAGTGAGTCAGCTGTGGAGTTAATGCAGCAGGCTAAAAAATGGCCCCCAAAAGACACAGCCACATCCTCACCACTGAAATCTGTGACTGATACCTCATATTAGAAAATCATCTTTGCAGATGTGATGAAGTTAAGGACCTTGCGTTGGGGAGACTGGAGATTATCGTGGATTATCTGGGTGAACTCTGAGCATAATCGCGAGAGTCCTTATAAGAAACAGGCAGTGGGAGATTTCACCCAGTCAGAAGACGAGGCCACGAGACCACAGAAGCAGAGATTAGGGCCATGTGCCCCAAGTCAAGGGATTCCAGCAGCCACTAGAAGTTAGAAGAAGAAAGCAAGGAATTCTCCTCTTGAAGCCTCCAAAGGGAACATGGCCTTTCTGACATACACCTTGATTTTGGACATCCAGAACTGTGAGAAGACAGCTGTGTTGTTTAGGCCACTCAGTCTGTTTCAAAAGCCATAGGAAACTAATACAGCTTAGAACCTCTCAAAACCTGCAACATGCAAAGCGACCTTGTGAATCAGCAAGAGGTCAATCTAGCAAGCAGTCGTTCCCAGTCTATTTAATGAGAGAATACCCATTTCCCAGAAAGAGAGAGCTGGTGGTGAAAGCATGCACCTTTTAGCATCTGGCATACCTAACATTCCTCTAACAAAGTTTGGGAATTCCTAACCCAAGTCACATTCTGGAAGGCAATTTAATCAAGTAAGTCTGAACTTTATTCAAACAATGCAAAAACGATCGAAGGTTTTTAAGAAATGTTGCAAGAAGTCAACCATTTGGGGTGAGGAAATCCAGGACCCTGTGACCCTGGATTCAGGGTAGCTTCAAAGTAGCAGAATGCATTGCTTTGGAAGATAAAACATGTCAGCAGCTGAGCCAGCCCTCCCAGCTGACAGCAGTGAACTCTGCCCTGATGGAACCACCTCCTCTGGGAAGTGCTCCTGTCATGAGGGATGCTGACAAACTAAAGTGGCTTCACAGTGTGACGAGTGAGAAATGACATAAAAGAATGAAAGAAGTGTTGTGCTAGAGAGCAATATTCAAATGGGAAACAAAATAGCAGTACCTTCAAGTAAACGAAAGGCTAAAATATATTGTTAATAACAAAAAATGAGCTACAAACGGTTCAATAAAAGTCAAAGGTGAAACCATCAAGGGGAGTGGGATCAGGTCAACAGGAAGCTGCCCATGGGCATCTGCAGTAAGAAGCACCTGGCCAGTATGGATCTTCCTGTGGAGACAAGTTATCAGGCTGCCACAGGAGAAGAAAACCCACACTGCATAGGAAGCTGGACCTCAAAACTGACCAGCTTCCACAAGTCTAAGATTTCATGACCTAAACTGGACACAGGCCTGTTTATCATACGCACATGTAGAGCTGGAATAAAAACTGAATTTCAAAAATATTGTGTGAAACTAGGGGTGAAATTCAAAATATTGAATAACCTGCGTAGCACAGGCACTGACCCACCAGAACGTATCCCAGCTTATGTGCCTACAGGTAGGTGCCCACCTCCTGAATTTCAGCCTTCATAAAACCGTGAACGCTGACGGAGAGTTGGAAACAGATTCTGAACAGGCAGGGATGAAGAGGGGAGGGGAAGAAACTACTGCCGTTTAAAAACTTCACTTGAACTGACAGCAGGTCCCCCATTTTGGGAAGCCACAGGATGTCAAGGAAAGGTGACCAGGTAGGCTGGAAGCCACATTCTAAATACAGCATCTCTGACCACAAACGGCCGGCAGCCACACACTGTGGCCCTGCCATCTCCAAGGCCACTGACTCAGCACGGCTGCGACCTAACGACACACTGGGAAGTCTGGGTTTGGTTTTGGTTGTGCGTGCTCTCTCTCTCTCTCTCTCTCTCTCTTCTCTTTCTTCTCCCCCACAACACTCCTCCTCCCACCTACACTCCCCCTTCTCTCCGACCCCGCTCCTATAGCATACATTTTGGTTCCACTGGTTGCCGGCTTATCCATTTGGCGGTAACTGTCTGGTAGGTTAATGCCCAACAATAGGCACTTGTATTTTCTTATACGGGGGAGGTAAATTATGGCACTTGAACAAAGACCTTACTATTTAAGTTTTACTGCACGTTTACTACAAGCCAGTTTCAATTTTACGTTTTTGTCCCTAGGCCATAAGAGAAAAAAGAGCAGGTTCCTGTTCATATTCGAAGGAGCTGTTTAAATAACAATAACAACAATACCTGGCAAAAGCGGGATCTGTTATAGGTCGAATTCTGTCCCCCTGAAAATGTATATGCTGAAGCCCTAACCTCCAGGACCTGGGAATGGGATGTTAGTTGGAGATACGGTTGGTGCAGATGTAATTAGTTAAGATTAGGTCATACTAAAGTAGGTGGCCCCTAATCCAATATGAGTGGTGTCCTTATTTAAAAAAAAAGAAAGAAAAGAAAATCTGGACACAGGCAACACCCAGCAAGAATGTCACAGGATGATGAAGTGGAATGGTGTTTCTACAAGCCAAGGAACACCAAATATTGCCAGAAAACCACCAGCGGCAAGGTAAGGGGCCTGGAACAGATCCTTCCCTCACAGCCCTCAGAAGGAACCAACCCTGACAACACCTTGATCATGGACTTCCAGCCTCCAGAGCTATGAGACAATAAGTTTCAGTTGCTTGAACCACCCAGTCTGTGGTACTTTGTTATGGCAGCCCTAGTGGACTAACACAAGACCAAAAGAATCAGGAGAGTGGCAACTGAAAGGTCAGGCAAGGTGGCCGGGCAAGTTTGGAGGAAAGAGTTTCCACTCTTTGCACCTCTAGTTAACTGTCAGGAAGCCCCCAGACTCGCCTGCCTGTCACACTGGCTTTCTCTGGGGTCCATCATCCATCGCTCCTGAGCTTGGCATAAGCTGCTGGTCCTTCCTCAACTCTTCCAGCTGCCCCTGTCCCTCACACACTCATTCAGTGGAACTCACAATTCTAAATGCCGATTCAACCACCACTTTCTCAGAAATGCATCCTGATCCCTCCAGCCTGCATCAGACCCCACTGTTTCCCACTGGTCTGTAGGGTCTACAAGGACAGGACCATGACTGCATTGCTCAACATGATGTTGCTGGTTGGCTGGAATACATATTTGCTCCATAAATTAAAATTCATTGTCCTTGGGTTACTAATCTCACAGGTCCTATGGCTCCAGCAGACACGCCAATGCCCTGATGATGTCTACAACTTTTATAGCAAACCTGTATCACCAGCTTGGCCTCTTTGTCTTAAAACATGAGATACCCCTGGGCTCTGGTCTCCCACATTGTCAATTGAGGGGCACTACTGACCCTTTCTCTGCAGAGCCACACGGGCTCTCCTTTCCCCTACAGAACTTCTCAGACTTAACCACTGCCATCCACTCCCATCCCCATCATCTGGGCAGTGTCCATGGTCTTCCTGCCCCAGCATCCAGGTGGGAGCACCCACACACCAGGATAAACTGACTGTGCTACTCTTTACTTAAAAATCAGCTTGATTTCCATTGCCTATTCTAAAGTAATTTTTTTTAAAAGCAGAAATCAAATCTATGCAAGGGATTACCACAGAACTGTCTGGTTTCTGGGTGGGGAAGCTGTGAATGGCTGTGGGAGAGGCAAGGCGCCTCCCAAGCAGTGGCCTCCCACTACCCTTTGTGTCACACTCCCACCCCACCTCTTAGCAAATCTTGAGGCATTCCAGGTAACTCAGGGCTCCTCACAACAGTGTAGAAATCACAGGTCCCTCTGGTTAAATCCAGCCTTTTTAGTAAAGGAATCAAGGCTCTTCATTTAACTATCACCTCCATTGTCAAAAGCATAACCAAATAAAAACAAACATCTTCACGTGAACATTCCATATCTTGGCTCCAATTCTTCCCTCCCATATTCATTCATTCATTCATTCATCAGAAATCTGCTGTTTTAGGAAGTGGTCCAAGGTTACAGAGATGCCTTGCCTTCAAAAAACAGCAATGCAGTAAATAAGACAGTTGTGTCCATTGACATATGTAAAAACAGTAATAATAAAAATAACAGGCAATATTTACCACAGGCAGCACTGGAAGTATTCTATGTGCATTAGCCTTCTGAACAACCCTTTAGGGAGGGTCCCATAATTATCCCAATTTTAAGGATGAGGAAATAAAGAGTCTTGAGGAGGTCAGGTCAGGTCACCAGCTAGAAAGAGGGCAAAGGAAGATTACAAACCATACGTTCTATGCTATTTTAGGTGATCCCAGTCAGGTGTGGTCACAAGAGGCCACACAGTAGAGGCTCAGGAATCAGCTGATTGTCCTCAGTGATCCTAGAGACAGGAGGCCCGCCATGCAGGCCACACTGGAACGCCTCAGGCTGGTGAGAGGCAGAGTGGGCAGGAGGAGGAGAGAACTAGGCCACAGTCTTTAATGGACTTCCAGGAAAAACAAGGCGGGGCAGGGTGAACAGGTTAGGAGTGGCTAAGTTGAATAATTTCAGCAGGCTTTGGGCTACAGAGGTGGTCTCTAGTTGCCTGGCACCTAGCCTTGAATGATGTAAGCAAGGGAATACTGCTTCCTGAAGTGTAAGGGCCAGATAGAGGAGGTCTGGGTATGGACTAGTTGGTTTGTATCTCAAAGGCATGCTCCTGGCTAGGCCCTGGCTCCCTCTCAGAACTGGCTAGACCTGCAAGGGCAGCCTCTTCCCAACCACAATGGTTTCTAAGATGTCAAAACATCATAATATATAGAAAATAAAAACCGTAAATAATACACCAGACTACCTGACTTCAAGCCTTCAGCAACTGTGCCTGCTACATCCCCAGCATAGTGACTGCACAAAGTAAGGCCAGGTAGGAGACACAATGAAGGCCTCTGGAAGGTGAGAAAAAGATCCACAAAGGCAGCACTCAAAGCACATCAACAATAAAGGAAACATAGAAGCTTCCACGAGGATAAGAATAAAAGAAGGACTTTCCAAGCAAAGGGACTGGGCAATAAAAAGGCAACCTGGCCAGTCCAGTTGGCTGCTGTGCCTTGATGTCTCTGGGGCCAGGGTCCTGGGACAGCACTAAAGATGAGGATGGAGACGCAGGCCTGGGCAAGAATCCCTAATTTTCAATTAGGTGTATGATAACAGGTAGTATGAATAGATTTCAAGGGTTTATTAAGCACTAAGTATAGTGTAAGCTCACATATAACAGAAACATTTAGTACCCAAAACACCAAACGTATCTAAGAAGCCTTAAATATCAAATTTTTAGACCGGGCACGGTGGCTCATGCCTGTAATCCCAGCACTTTGGGAGGCTGAGGCAGGTGGATTACCTGAGGTCAGGAGTTCGAGACCATCCTGGCCAACAGGGTGAAACCCCATCTCTACTAAAAAAAATATAAAAATTAGCCGGGCGTGGTGGTGGATGCCTGTAATCCCAGCTACTCGGGAAGCTGAGGCAGGAGAATTGCTTGAACCCAGGAGATGGAGGTTGCAGTGAGCTGGCACGGTGCCACTATACTCCAACCTGGGCGACAGAGTGAGACTCTGTCTCAAAATAAATAAATAAATAAATAAATAAATAAAATAAAGAGACAACCCAATGGAAACACAGATGGCCCGCTGCATCCACGGATTAAACCAACGTCAGATGGAAAATATTCAGAAAACAAACAATAAAAAAACAGCAATGCCACATTTAAAAATATAGTATAACAACTATTTATACAGTGTTTACACTGTATTATATAAGTAATCTAGAGATGATTTAAAGTATACGGAGGACTGCAGTCCCAGCTACTTAGGAGGCTGAGACAAGAGGATGCCTTGGGCCCAGAGTTCAGGACCAGCCTGGCTACATAGCGACATCTATCTCAAAAATAAAGTATACAGGAGGATGTACGTAAGTTATATGCAAATACCACACCATCTCATATACGGGACTAAGCACCCATGAGGGTTCCTGGAACCAATCGCTCATGCATACTGAGAGACAACTATGCTGGCAAGTGCATGGGCAGGTATGTCATAGAAGACAAAACATAAGTCACCAGTAATCACATGAAAGATCCTGAGTTTTCATTAGCAATCATGGAAATGCAAGTTAAAACCACAGCGAAATAACGTTTCACACCTAGCAGATTAGCCAAAGTTTGATAAACTACCAAAATCAATTATTAATGAAGATATGTTAGGAAGACATGTTCTTGTGCACTGTTGGTAGGACTGTAAATTGGTAAAACCACTTTACAAGATCAACAGTCATTTATTTTCCAATGTTGAAGTTGCTCATACCGCAAGATGTAGGATATACCTTGAAGACATATGAAGGTGGTTAAGTTCCTAAATAAGGGTAGTGATATGAACACATAAAGGATGGGCAAAGTCAACAGTTACAGGGCAAGAGGAAGGAAGACAGTCGAGTTAACTGAAGAATGGTAAAAATGGGTGGGCTGGTTTGGTGGGAAAAGATTATACTTCGTTTTGGGCATTTTGAGTCTCCGGCATTAACAAAATACTCACAGACAGGAATTATGTTATATTACATGATCTCTAATGACTCTTGTAGCCCTAAAGCTTTGTGATCTTATGATACTATCAGAAAGGGCCAAATTCCACGGCTCACTCAAGTATTTTGCTATAATTAACTTCTTTTGTACTCTGTATTCTTGCACACTCAAACAAGCTTTTTAACAACACGCCCCTCTCAAAATGTCTTTATAGTAGGGATGTTTGATTTTTTTCTTGGTTCTTCAGCTAGACAATCAGTTCCTGAAGGGGTATGAAAGTGTTGATCTTCTTTCCTCAGAGTGCCTTCTACTACAATACACAAAGTAATTTTTCCCCCTAAATGGAACAAAGGAAGAGTTAACTGTTAAGTACAATCTAACAGCAAAGTCTTCCTAAAGATAAATTTTCAGCCAGCCTTTTGGAGATGGAAAGGAACTTACTTAGCAGAGAAGAGGAAAGTGATATTATTCTTGGTAGAAAGAACGGTGCATCCCAAGGGTATGAAGACTGGAAAGAGGATATTGCTGATAGATCTGGTACACCATTAACTGGCACTGCAGGACCAAAGGTGAAGGAAAATAGGAGTCCTATTTGACTTATACTTACCCAGTTGATTCTTAAACTCAAGATGTTTATTTTCTTTTACTATTGTAGAGTCAAAGGCAGTATACTGGGATGAAGAGAAAAACAGTACTATTCAGAAAGCTGTTTGGTTTTGATGAAACCTTAAAAAAGTTACCGGTTGGCCAAAATGCAAGAGCGATGGTCTGAAACAAATCATGAAGATAATCAAAATGGTAACCATTTAAACCTCTGACACAGCAGACTCTGCCAAGAGTAGAAAACCAATACTAGCTTGCCCCCACTCACATACACGTTTAGCGTCCCTAATTTCAGCAGTACGTGACATTGGTTGCTAGCCCAGAAGAGATGCATAAGACTCTGAACCTAAAGTTTCCAGTGATTTGGTCCAAAAGGATATTTTGATAAAATTCCAAATGGGGAAGGAAAGACCTAGACATCGGACTCCTATAATTTTGAAACCTTAGCATTAATTATCTCCAGTCTGGCGTTAAGACATTGGAAACCTCTGCATCATTCCCAGATCATCACTCTAGAGTCCCCTACATTTATCAATTTATCCCTCCCCTCTCCACATACATGCCACCACCATCCATCAAGTGAGAAGAGCAACAAGCTTGTATTTCTCACAGGGATTCATTTCTTAATGAGATGCTTACAAAGCAGATCATGCTACAAAACACAGACCTTTTTCTTTAAGAGACTCAAAAAAATGTAAAGATGTATCCAAGCCTAGTACATGCTTTAAATTTAGAGCAAGTCCCCTGAGCATACTAGATAATTCCACAACGTAGAAACTAAAAGTAGTTGCATTTTATGCATAATGACACAGATGTGTTGCTGACAAGTTGTCTTAACAAAATATTTATATATTGACTCACATTTGAAATACGTTAGGAGTAGAATCTTGGGTAAAAGCCTCTAAAAAGGTTGTTGTATATTAGACATTCTCAAAGTGCGGCACCCATACCATAGAATTAAACTCCCTGTTTCAGTCCTGTGTTTTGAAACACATTTTTACTATTCCTGGAAACACTTTCACATTTTTGTCAGACGTTGAGTGAGCAACAGGGTAAATAACTTTTCAAAAGCATTTTTAGAGTAGTAAAACCTTAAGTTCCTTGCTAGAAGGGCTGATCCAAAATAAATTAAATGCTGGTATGACTAAGCCAAGTGTGGCAAATTCTGATTTGCAGTGTGGACACCTCCAGTTAATAGATCTATTCAGTGATTCAACATGCACCTCCAAGTCGTAAGCCGGGCAGCAAAGTATAAATATGAGACTTACAAGCATTCTCTGATCTCTGAGTTTGTATTCACATCTATCAAGTTTTTGTTTGTTTGTTTGTTTTTGTTTTTTTTGAGATGGAGTTTACCTCTTGTCGCCCAGGCTGGAGTGCAATGGTGTGATCTCTGCTCACTGAAACCTTCACGTCCTGGGTTCAAGCTATTCTCCTGCCTCAGCCTCTCAAGTAGCTGGGATTACAGGCATGCACCACCACGCCTGGCTAATTTTGTATTATTAGTAGAGCAGGTGTTTCACCATGTTGGCCAGGCTGGTCTCCAACTCCTGACCTCAGGTGATCCGCCCGCCTTGGCCTCCCAAAGTGCTGGGATTACAGGCATGAACCACCACGTCCGGCCTGAAGTTAGTCTTGATGGAAGGTTCTCAAAGACCTATTATTACATCCTGTGTATTATATCAGCTTTGTCAAAGAGGTGAAGTTTAGGAAGCTGTGTTTCATAAAAACCCCAAATCTGAGTAAGTCTATGGGAGCACCATTCACGGACATGCAGCAATACGGTAGAACACGTGAGAAACTGCTCATCTGGACTGCACTGTAACACAAGCACCCTACCCTAGAGGTACAACATGCAGGTACCGCTGATACAGCAGGCTTCCACAGCATGGTTACGAATCATCACATCAGACATGGAGAGCACCTGAGGGATCACCTAATATAACTGCTTCACCAATGAGGAAAGCAAGACCTTGATGACATAAAATACGGAAAAGAATAAAAATAGACGCACATAACATTTCTTCTGCTTGCTCAAAGTTATCCCCGACAATTTAAGATGATTAAGGGCTTTATCTTGGAATGCTTAGCTCACAGAAAAAAAAGGTAGGCAACTATATATTCTTATTAATTGGAAAAATCATTGAACAGCCAGTGGTTTGATTTGAAGAGAGCATCAGTTTTGTTGATTTCATTAAAATGAATGTAAAGAGAACAAGGTGTATTGACTTTTTATTTTTTTAGCCACACCACCAGCAAATACTGCATCACTTACATGTGTGTTTCCTTCTGTCTGGAAATCCTGGGTGGACAATTTAACTGCCACAGAACTCCCATGAACAGGCACACACAATAAACACGCACATAAGGATTATGTGAGGCGTCTACCACAGAATGGCTTTTTCAGCCACCTGAACCTAGGTCCATTAAAAGAAACTAGGCAGCGTGGAGCAGAGCAGCTGTCCCAACACAGGCAGTAATGGAGCTGACAATATTCCCACGCCAGTTCTGAATCCAGTCTATTTTATGCTCTTGCGTGGATTCAAGGAAACAGAACTACTATTTAAAAGTGCATTTACAAAGAGGGCTTTAAAAAGCGTTAGAATAAATTACTTTGAAGTGTATTTCTACAACACGCCTCCAGCTTTCCCTTCTTTTCCTATTTGCTCGTCCCCAGAACCCAACGGTGACTATATTTAACTGACTTTACAAGCTGTGGGGAGACTGAGTACACACAGCAGATTCCAGCCAGGATTGTGTGCATTAACTAAGTCCCAAGGTTTTTTGCTTGGGAGCTTTCTCTTTCTTTTTTTCATCTTCTTCACATGTCTTAAAATTACCTTATATCCTGGAAATAACAGAAAAATTTTAAAAGACCCTCTATTTTGGTTTGCTGTATAGGTTGAGTCCTGATATTTTTAATCATATTAACAATATGCTCAAGGCAAACACTGCCACGACCCAGTATTCTTACAGTTTGTAAGTATTTTATTATTTCCTTGAAAAAACACTCATTCCATCTAGTACGTATTGTGAGAGAAGATCAAGTACTTGTAAAATAATTTTCATTTAGGAACAGGTATATACAGATTAACGGTATTTGGAACTGACTAGAATGACAATGAAATCACCAACTTCTGATCAAGGTGAAATAAATTAATGATTTCACTAAGGCCAGATGCAGTGGTTCATGACTCTAATCCTGGCATTTTGGGAGGCTGAGGTGGGACCATTTGAGCCCAGGAGTTCAAGAAAAGCCTGGGCTACACAGTGAGACTCCTTTCTATTTTAAAAAAATAAAAATTTTTAAACATAAAAATAAAATTTCACTAAGTGGAATGCCTCTGGCTATAAAGTCTACCTCTCCCACTAACACGAAACTATCTCCATGGAATTCTAGGGATGTGGATTCCAGTATCAGATTAGCTTTACCATTTATAACAATGTCCTGTGGGAAAACCACTAACTTCTTTTGGCTTCAGTTTTCTCATCTATAAAATTAGGGCTTCACACCCTAAAGTAATCTCTAAAATTATTTCCACCTATAAGAAGCAATTATTTCAGATTAAGAATCCACAACAATCTTAAACTAAAGAATATTTAAAAGATGGGGTGTTTCTGCAAACTTTGAAGATTTTGGCCATAAACTGAGTTCTAATTACTCAGTAAATTTAAAAGTGCTTAGGCTGACTACCACTTCTGTTATCAACACTTCTATCTTTAATTATATGATACCTAATACAAGCTATCTCTATTCCACAAAAATTTATACAGACCACAGTCAAAGTTCACAGCTTCTAGCTAATTTGAATATTTGGAAATTATGAATGAAATATGATTAGACTGCTTTTACACTGGCAAATTTCCCTTAGAAATGCCTGAACTATTAGCGATATCCCTAGATTTAACGAGACAAACTACTTTCATGTATTTGTCTATAAGGTAATATTAGCTTAAAATATTTAATTTTATGGGTACAAAAAATAGTTAGAAAGAATAAGACCTAGTATTTGCTAGCACAACAGGGAGACAATCATCAAAAATAATATAATTATACATTTTAAAATTAAAGAGTATAATTGGGTTGTTTGTAACACAAAGGATAAATGTTTGAGATGATGGACATTCCATTTACCCTGATGTGATTATTACACATTGCATACCTGTATCAAAATATCTCATGTAACCCATAAATCACTTAATATGTACCCACAAAAATTAAAAATCAAAAACTTAAAACAATTTTTTTATTTTATTTTCATTGAAGATCCCCAAAAGCAAATATAACTTGTAAAAATAATTATCTCATGTAAATATGAATTGGAGTGAATTCTGAGTAAATAAAATTTACAATACATGAGCAATATAGCCATTTGCTAGCTATGTAATCTGGTACAAGTAAGCTATATGTCTTTGTGACTGTAATGCCAGGAAGGTAAATTCTTGTAATCAGTTTCTGAGATAATGTATAAAAGCTCTTAGTGTAACCTATTACTCATAATCATCTTCAGTATTATCACCAGTACTGTTATTTACTAAGCCTTGCTATTAACAAAATATGCAAAAAACCTACTCTTTATCTCTGAAAATTTATGCACCTTAATATTAATCTAAAACTGGGTTTTCTATATTTCAATCAATTTCTCATACTCTTTAAGAATTTAAGACATCTGTGTACTGTAAATTTTTCTTTAAATCCATTCATCTTAATCTTGTTCTAACTAAATGTCAACCATTAACACACAGGTAAGAAATGGGTATATGATTTTTTCTTATGACAAATTAAAATTAGATATAACTATTATTTTTAAATGTACCCCTTAAAATATTTCATGTTACCTTACCAATAGTTTTAAGAAACACTGGCCTAAACTGGCATTTGCTAATCTGTACCAGGTTTTCAAATTAAAGATGACATGTTCTGTTAGAAAGTCCATCATAGTTGAAGGCCACACACAAGTCGACAGGTCAATGTCATAAACACAGATAGTTCTCTAATCTGAAAATATCAATATAGTAAACAAATACCTAAGTCCACATTTTTTAGTTCCTTATACTTTGACTTTATTTAAGAATGATGTTTAAAGTCCTTTATTAAATACAAAACTAAACTCAAGACTACCTTTCTGAAAGGCTCTTTAAAATCAAATTGAATTCATTCAAGGCACTTTATAGGCCAATTTAATAGTATTTAAAAAACGTAGAATTTGTTACTGCTACTAGCCAATGCAATTAAATAAAAGAAAGAAAAAGAAGACTAAAATTATCATTTGATTGATGATATAACTGTATACCTAAAACACAAGAATTTATTAACTGGCTACAAAATTATTATTCAAAATCAGGAGTTTCCAAATTTAAAAATGATAACATTCAAGAAAATTATGCTGGGAGGAAATATCCTATTTATACTAGCAACAAATTTGAACACTTAAAATGGAGTTAACAAGATATTAATAGGAACAATATAAAGAAAACTTTAAGCTCTTCTAAGATGTATAAACAGAAAATATTTTTAAATATTGGAAGAAAATTCTTGCTCCTGGATTAGAAGATTCAACATCATGAAGAAATCCACTGTACTCTAATTAACTTTAAGTTTAATTAAACAACAAGTTACAAAAATTTGGACAGGTGACAAAATTATATGTTGGAGTCATATAAATATGCAAGGATAACCTAGATCTTAAAAAATATTAAAAGGATAGAATCATTTTAATCATAAAAATTATGTATTATGAAAATATAACTATATCAGAGATACCAATGATATAATCAAAATCTAGATACAGTCCCAAATACATACAGGAATGTAGTATAAGATAAAGGTAGCAATTAGCCAGGCGTGGTGGTGGGCGCCTGTAATCCCAGCTACTTGGGAAGCTGAGGCAGGGGCATCGCTTGAACCCAGTAGGCGGAAGTCGCTGCACTCCAGCCTGGGCAAGAAAGCAAGACTCCTCCTCAAAATAAATAAATAAATAAAAAAGACAAAAGTAGCATCTTTTAATCAATGGACTATTCAATAAATTATGCTTGGAAACAACATTTTAGGAAGCAAGTAAAGCTACAGCCCTACTTCATTCTTTATGCCAAAAGACCTTTCAGATACAACAAAGGTTAAAAAGGAAATTTTATGATAAAATACTAGAAAAAGGCTGGATAAACGCATTTACAACCCTAGACCAGGGAATATTTTAAGAAGGACACAAAATCCAGAGATCATAAAGGAAAAAGACTGATAATCTGACTGGCTATAGGAAAACTAAAAACTTCTGTAGGGCCAAAAAATACCAAATAATTAAAAAGCAAATGACAAACTGGAGGGAAAAAATTTATGAATATAACAAAAAGAACTAATGTCCAAATAAACAAAGAATGTGTCCAATATGAAAAGTAAACATAACAACAGTCCAGTAGGGAAAATGGCAGTTGATGAACAGGCAATTAAGAGAAATGAGTTCATATATAAATGAACTCATAAACAGATTTACAGGCAAAGATACTGATCCCTACTCAAAATGAAATAAATATAAATCAAAATGAAATACTATATTGTTCACCTATTGAACTGACAAAAAAAAGTTATCTAAACCCCACTGTGATAAGGTGTTTTCATATGCTATTGGTAGAGATACTTTTAGAGAAGAAAAATTACCCTCTGACCCAGCAATTCCAAAGCTAAGAATTTTAGACTAAGAATATACTCAAAAATGTACGACAAGTTATATACATGTGCAAGAACAAGAATGTCTATTCCAGCAAAAGGCAGAACTGTATGCAGAATATAACGTTTACAGAAATTTGTAGAGGTTAGACACTAGTATTGCTAGAAAACATACCAAAAATTATACTCTGAAGGGAAGATATAGCACTAGGGATAAATGTGACCAGAGAGACTTTATATACAGTTTGATTTTTGCCTTGTCCATACAATACTTTCATTAAAAAGAAAAGTAAGAAAGGATGCATGAAGGTTGCTTTTTATGTTTCTATATTCAAGCATTCAACTAATTATTCTTCCCAACACGCACAATTCCAAGTCACAATCATGTTTATTGAAAATTTAAATTAAAAGATTTTTATATTTCAGGGTAGATTTTAGACACAAAAATGGAAAAACCATGAAGTATATTTAGTCTTTCTTCTTCAGCTGTTGGCCCAGTCCACATTTTTCTGACTTAAAAGAAAAATGGTTTGTGAATACATACAACAACCCTATTTGGGAACGCATTTACTTCTATTTCAGAAATTCTATCCAACAGCAAAATAACATTTAAAATAAATTTTCTTTTCTATTCAGATTGCTGTTAATAATTTACATTAACTAACATACAAAAAGTAATGTTCAAAAAGTACTCATATTCAAAATTAAATTAAGATACTGGGAAGTGGTTAAAATCTGTAATTTGGATTTTGGCATATAAAATAGGAAAGAAAGGCAGTGACCACAAGTATGCACCAATTCTTTTCCAACTCAAATTCAGAAAAAGGTTTTTCCACCTAAACTTAGGCCACTCGACTCCAGACATTCATTGTCTGGTGCCACCCAAACGTTGTTCTCTTGACTAATTCTAGGGTTTATAGTATTAATAATAATTACTTCAATAAACATATGCCCAGATATGCAATTATATGACCGATCAGAGAAAAGCTGGATTTTTCAAAGTTTTTATCACTAACGACCTGAACTTTTGGCCAGACCCAACCCTGTGCTGAATTTCATTTGGCTAAAGACGAGTTCAACAAAAGCCTCTTATTGAAGAGATGCAAAAAAAAAAAAAAAAAAAAAAAGACAAAAACCAATCTATTCCAAGAATAATATAAAAAGTTGAACAATATAAAATTCCAGTATTCAACACTCTACAGATTTTTACCTACTTCATATGGTTAAGGCTAATATTCAACCTTTAAAGAGGCTGATAACTCTTTCACAACATTATCTTTTTTCAACCCATAAGACATGTATCATACTTCATTTTTTATATACATTTCCCATACTGGCACAAATACTTGATAAATGTCGACCACTTCAAAAAAGCAAACAAATTAACATCTTTAAATGAGGCTTTATATGCCCAATCTGATATAATGCAAAGATATCAAATCATAAGGATATTTGTCCTTAACACTCAGAAGACTATCTACAACCAAGTTTATCTTTACTATTTCCTAGTAATTATATTTTAACAGACAAAACACAAAAGCTGAGAAGCTGCAAAAAAGACTATGATTTTTCCCCAATAATTAATTTTAAAACAAACAGAAAATTGGACAGTTTCCAGAAATGAAGTGGATTCACGGCATGACATAAAAGGTAATTACCATTTGGGTGGATGTCTTTTGTGGCTGAACCTTGTGACCAAAGGCCCAAAATTTATTTTGGACCTCTCTCACAGTTCCTCCATTTAAAAGGAAGCATTTTACTTCCTTACCACCAATATATGACAGATCAACATTTCAACCTAATTGCATCTGACTGACAGGAGAAGATTAGTGTGTACCAAGCAGCAGATAAGAATATAATTGTTTTAAATTTTTCAAATTCAGGCACCACGTTCACAGGAGTTGCGTATTAATGGAGCACTCTGGGATACCATATCCTTAAGAAAAATGATGTGTAAGAAGAATAGCCATGATACCAGTTTCCTCTTAAGCAGCAGCTCCATCAAGCTGTTTGCTCTTTCTTGAAATGAAGGATAAGAATCAGTATCTCTGCTGAAAAGTATTTTTAAATTAGGTCGTGAAGATTTCCCAAATGCGAATTCTAAATTACGTAAATGAAACCAGATACAACAGCCATGATTTGAAAAGATATTTTAAACTAACCTACTTATAAAATCAAACTCAGGTATAAAGAAATAAACCCACAACAAAAGAAAATTTAAATCGCTCATTGTTTTTTACATTTATTAGACTTGACTATTAGGGTTACTTTTTTTAATGATTCCAGGAAGGAAGAATAATTGTTAGCTTTCCTAAATGTCAAGAAAAATCTAAATAGATGGATAATATAGTGTTTTCTTGCTTTAAATATTTTCAATTGATACCACTTTCTGATTCGGGGCTTAGAAAATTATAAATATATTATAGAGCGTCTTGAAAAGCTGGTTCTCCCATATTTGTTTGTATGTTGCATGTCATAATTTCAAGGTAAAGGTGTGAAAGGAAAACTAGCAACAGACTAATTGTCACTCAAAAAAACACCTTCCTATGGTAATGCAATTATCTCTACGTCACTATCACGGTGAATTTTTTTAGATGTTTTTACTGAAAAAGGATATTGATTTTTTAAGAAAATCAAAGGCAAGCCTGCCTGCCTTGCACAGTATCAGCCCACAGCACATGCTCGACAAATGGTGAGATTAATAAGAAAACAAAAGAGAATCAGGCAAACAAGCAAATAATGACTTTCACAACAAATTTAAGTCACTGTTTTTTTACAAATATAGTCTTAGAACATTTCTTTGATAACTATTAAAATATTAAGTGTAGTGATACTTTGTTTTAAGAAATAAAAAAAACTTAAATTTCAAAATATGACCAACAAAGCAAATTACTTTCTTTTTTTCCTAAAGTAAGGTAAGAACTGAGATTATGATTCAAAACATCACTATTTTTAAAAGATGAATATGTCTCGGGGTAGATATTATGTTTATCTCTGTGCATGAGAACTTTTAAACTTCCTTTCTGAATATACATCTATTTTCTTTACATATGCCATATATAAACCCATACTTTCTTCAATGTTCTGTTAAAATGAGAAGAAAGGAAAAAGGTCTCAGGATTTTAAGAAAGCCAAATGCCACAGTTTTCTCTGTACATATTGCTAAATTCATTGAACATAAAACTATCAACAAATTATTTTAAAAATCACAGAAAAACTAGTTCAGATTTTTTTTCTACCTGTGTATATAATAAACTTTTATTCCTTCATATTCCAGAGGAATTTACCTTTTGTAAAAAGTACTGCAGTGACTGACAGACTCACTAAAAACTCCATTTATAACTGTAGCACAGCACAGATCGTCTTCATAGACTTATGTTCTAGAGCAGAGCTTCTCAAACTTTACTTGTGCATCCAAATTACTTGACATCTTATTAACATGAAAGTTCTAATTTCAGTATGATTGGGCAGGGGCCAGAGACTCTGCATGTCTTACAGGCTCTCAGAGGACAGTTTATCTGTAAACCCTACTTTGGGCAATAAGTTTCTAGAGACCTCCACTAAGATAGTCAAGTGCATTCAAATTCTTTGTCTTCTTTCTGACTGTGGGCAATATGATTGCTAATTTCTGCGGTAGAATGCAAGCTATTGTCTTTGATTCATTTTAAGTGAGCCAGGAAACAAGTAAGTGGTAAGAAATCTATGTCTCAGCCCACTGACCAAGGACAACTAATCTGCTGACCTGAGTAGAAAAGATGACCCATCCCTATGGCTAATCTCAGCATCCAGATGTTGCCTTAACCAGACCAGAGATGCCAGTGCTCATCTTGTCTTGTGAGTAATTTTCACTACCAAAACGAAATCTATAGGGGAGAGATTTGCCAAAGAAATTAGGGCTTCAGTAATTAGGAAACCACAAGGCACTAGGCATCTTGCATCAGCCAGAGATGAATGGGAACACTTGCAAAAGTATTTCACCATTAGCCTGTTTTGTGAAAGAGAGCCACAGGAAAAAACAGGAATTTTAAAATTCCTTTATTACTCAATACAATTATATGTTTCAGCCTAAACTAATGCTGGCACTGTTCAACAGAATTCCTTCATTCCTCAAGGGTAAAATGAGAAGCAGAACAAATACAGATGGTCTATGTGACTCTTTCCCTGAGTATCTAAGAGAGACATCTCTGTTTGGAAATGGGCATTAAAATCTGCCTGCCTGATACAGTTCTGATTCACTATTGTCTCTAAGATGGTAGCTGAAACAAAAACAAACCTCAGCCCCCAAAACCACATCAATACCTCCTTCCTCATGAAAGCACCATTCTTTCATGTTCAACTCCCACAGTGGCCTTTTCATCACCTTGCTGGTTCCAGCTTTTATTTTCCCTTCATAGTTTCTAGTAATGCTATATATATAATAGTTTAAAAACAATAGCAAAATAGTTTCTAGTAATGCTATATACATATATACATACATATATAATAGTTTAAAAACAATAGCAAAATAAAACATATGTACGCATAAGGGAAACAGAATTCAAAGGCTATCTCAATTTGACATTCATGTAACTGCTCTGGGAGGGATTCCTTAATTTATAATTGAAAAAAGTACTTCCTACAGTTTGGTAAAAATACAACACAAAAGTAAAGCATAAATATGTGACAACTGGTTTTTCTGAAAAATGAAAAAGAATTGTAAAGCAAAATTTCCAATCAACCTCAAATAAATAATCTAGATGCTAAAATAAAATGGCATTCCCCATCAGTTAAATGGAAGTGATAATGTTTCAGAAGACATCAAAATAGGAACTTCCAACCTCAGTAAGAATCACAAATCAAAACTGCTCACTCCTTAGTAAAAACCTCTTTGGCTATCTGCTGGCCACTTTTTGTTTATCAAGATATTTGGTCTGACTTCCCTTCAGTATTGGGGCAAGAAAGTGGGGAAAGTTAGGATGGGGACTTAGCGAATCGCTTCTTACCGCCCCCTAGCGCTCACTCAAAGCAGTGGCAACATGGATGCGCTGACTATGGCCTTTCCTTTGCCAACCGGCATCAATGATGCTTCCTCCCCACAGTGTCCACGGTGGTTAATTCCTTACGCTGCCAGAGGCGGTGAGGTGAGCCAAGTTCTTAGCTGTTTTTGACAAGTATACCTACTTACATCAAAAAGCATCAAGCTTAACTCTCACAAGAAAAGAAATCACTGAACATTAGGTTGGGGTTTAGAAGGAAGATAAGTAATTATGTGCTCTGGATAAACACAGGTACTGAATATGTACTGAATTTTTCCTCAATTTTTTAGAATTGCGACACTTCATGAAAGTCAACACTTCCAGTGTTTCTATCACATGTTAAGTTAAACTAAGTCCAACTTTGGGGATACATATTAAATTTAGGCCAAAAAAGTTATTTTTAAAAATTCCTTCTACGTATAGTTGACCCTTGAACAATGTGAGGGGGAGGAGACAGAGGGGTACCGACCTCCTGTGCAGTCAGAAATCCTCAGATAACTTCTGATCCCAAAAATTTAACTGCTAATTGCCTACTCTTGGGCTCACATGATCCGCCCACCTCAGCCTCCCAAAGTGCTGGGATTATAGGCATGAGCCACCACATCCAGCCAATTTTAACGTTTTATGATAGATTTGTGTATATTTTATGAGAGTAAATGACAAAACAGACTAATATCTACATACATTTTATGCATTCATGGCATACCTTTTTCTTAATTTTTTCAATATTTCTTTTTTTCTTTTTTTTTTTTTTTTTTTTTTGAGACAGAGTCTTGCTCTGCCGGCCAGGCTGGAGTGCAGTGGCATGATCTCGGCTCACTGTAACCTCCATCTCCCAGGCTCAAGCAATGCTCCTGCCTCAGCCTCCCAAGTAACTGGGATTGCAGACGTATGCCACCACGCCCAACTAATTTTGGTATTTTTACTAGAGATGGGGTTTCACCATGTTGGCCAAGCTGGTTTCGAACCTGACCTCAGGTGATCTGCCTGCCTTGGCCTCCCAAAGTGCTGGGACTACAGGTGTGAGCCACAGCACCCGGCCAATTTTTTCAATATTTCTAGGCTACACAGTTCATCTATGTGTTTTTTCAAATTGTCACAAATCTCCAAAACATCTTCCAATATATTTATTGAAAAAAAGTTCAAACCCGTGTTAAGGGTCAACTGTAATATATAAAATATGCAATTTTATAGTCATATTATATAGCACCATGCACAGGAGCATAAATTAACAACGAAACCTACAAAAAATCTTGGGCTGAAAAAATCATTCAATCTTTTAGAGTTAATAGAAAGCAACTATGAACAATTTAAGCCTAAATATTAACATATTTCAAAGAAAAACATAAACTTCTCCCCCATTAAAGAAAAGTAGTACTATATTTTCCAACAGATTTTTACTACATGCGATAGTTTTTATCTTTCTAAATTGCAAGTTCAGCCAAAATATCATATCTGAACTCTGAGAAGAGTGAAGTTCGGATAACAATTTCTCATCAGAAGAGTGACAGTGGCTGACATTAACAGAGAGTGTCCAGGCCTTGCACTAAATATGTAACACAGCTTCTAACATTTAATCTTCACTAAGATATAATGGATAAGCACTACTATGATCCCATTTTATAGGTGGAACACTTTTCAGCTAGAAAGAACTAGGAATCAACCTAGGTCTGACACCAAACTCCAACTTTATTAACTCTTTTTTAAAATAGATTCTTTTTAAAGACAAATTTTCAAGTTGTAGAAAAATGTCATTCAATTGTCATGGTTGTTATATAAGTCTATGAAGATTTTGAGACAGGTGTTGCCCAGGCTGCAGTGTAGTGGTGCCATCATGGCTCGCTACAGCCTCAACCACCAGGTAGTTCCAGCTACCTCAGCCTCCTGGGTAGCTGGAACTAGAGGTGCACACCACCACACCTGGCTAATTTTTTGTAGAGATGGAATTTCACCATGTTGCCTAGGCTGGTCTCCAACTCCTGAGCCTAAGCTATCCACCCACCTCGGCCTCCCAAAGTGCTGGATTACAGGCATGAGCCACGACCACACCTGACCAAAGACTCTGATGTATTGTTGTTCAAACTCAATTTACTGAATGAGCACAGACTGCAAATATTCCAATAAATACCACTTCTCTAAATATATTTTCTTTATTCTTTCAAGCTGAATAATCAATGACCATACCCTGAAGCTCTTTGAAAGAATTATTTTTAATAAACTTTGTCAAAAGGATTATATGTTAACTTTTTTTTTTTGAGACGGAGTCTCTCTCTGTTGCCCTAGCTGGAGTGCAATGGTGTGATCTCGGCTCACTGCAACCTCTGCCTCCCAGGTTCAAGCAATTCTCATGCCTCAGCCTCCCAAGTAGCTGGGACTACGGGCACACCATCACGCCCAGCTAATTTTTTGTATTTTTAGTAGAGACGGGATTTCACCATGTTCACCAGGATGGTCTCGATCTCCTGACCTTGTGATCCGCCTGCCTCGGCCTCCCAAAGTGCTGGGATTACAAGCGTGAGCCACCACACCCGGCCTATATGCTAAGATAATTTTAAAGTATAAAATCTTTAGTTCTGTGTATATGTTAGTTTTGCTCACTGACTGAAACAAGCTGTTAAATAGTAACAAATGACACGACTGACCACAGGTGCTTTCAGTGCACCTACTGTATCTACCATCTGACATCTTATGAGTACTGGGACAAGATTTAGGAATTATCAGAGGATTGACAGCTTCCCTCAGGAAGCTTCACAGTGTTTCTTGGAGGTTTTCTGTTTCAATTTGGGTGTACTTGAGGATTTGAAAATTCATTTTCCACATCTTAATAAAACTGTGCTATAAAGTGCTGACCCAGAGGTGGTGGGGGAACCCCCAATTCCCCACTGTGACCTTCAAACCAATCAGTCTAGGACAGAACAAGGACCTACGTGGGGCTGGTGAAAAAGATAAGGGACCCAACAGAGAAACCAAAGGACCCCTTTAAGGGACATTTCCCAAACTGTCCCTGAAACACAAAAAAGGGCTAAGGGTTTGGTTTCAAAGGACTTCCTGGCTGTGACTCAGACTGCTAAAAAGTCAAAATAAAAGGAGAGAAAGCCAAGACCTCATTCAAGCAAGTCACTAATGACAGGAGTCACTGTCAATAAACTCAAAAGCAAGATCTTGCCACAGATAAGCTACAATACAGCTAATTCACTCAGAAAAAAACAGAGCTGGTTCTCTATGCATGTTTTATACCACAATATATTCACCAAGAAAAATAATATTCTGCCAAGGAACATCTTAATGACACAGGAAATTGTCTATGCTTGATAAGGTCACTGCATTCATAGACAAAAATCTCTTGAGACTAAACTGGCCCCAGAGCCACACCAAGATATACATTCCAATGCCTATTTTAAAAATAAAGGAAGTCCATTTTCCAAGGAGCAGAAAGAATACCTGTGGGTGCCTAGGTTCTAATCATGCTTCTGCCCCAAGCTACATGACCTGGGAATTGTGAGTAAGCCACAGCGTAGGGAGGCCAGTTTTTGCAATGGTGACAAGGAACTGACTAGACAAGTTTGGTGGTTCTCAAAATCTCCTCCCATGGAACACCAGGGTTCCACTAATTAAGACTGTGGCTTTCTGTGGCTCAAATCAAATAATAGACATCTGTTTCCAAAGTTCTTTCCCATAATTTTTTCCTTATACCTCTGGGGCTTGAAAGTACTTGTCTGCTAAAAGGAAGCAGAAAAAAGGAGTAGACCTTATTGTTTTTTCTAGTCTCATGTATTCAGGGTTAGAATTTTAAACTTCATACTTAAAACAGTCTTACTTATTGCTAGCAAAATTATTCCTGGTTCAAATAATAGAATAAAAATATCAGGTTTTCATAACATTCCAACACACACACACACACACACACACACACACACACACACACACACACACACAAAACTTTCCTGGTGCTTCCCTACATTACCAGATTTGAGTGAGACCCATGAGATAAGTAACGTCTAAGAAGTGGCCCTGGGTTGAGAGGAGACAGCAGCAGTGATGCATACTTCCCACCCACACTGCTTCCACAGGAAACCGAGTTCCCTCCTGCTCTCCAAGCTCTGGGGCCACTGCAATTTCAGTTCATTCCTGCCATCCTTTGTTCCTTGTGGCCATCCCTCTCACTCACTCTATCGGCTCTGGGACTACATCAAAAAATAAAAAATTAGAGGAGCAACAGCCCACTGATCTAGACAGCTCTCTCATTTTCTCATTGATCCTTGCACACTGTAGTGTAGCTGATGTAAACTGTCGTAAGGAAAGTCTGGACAAGTTCTTGATATATTCAATCACGACCGATGACATGTGCCTAGGAGGCTACTTTTATAATGCTGAATAATAGGCCCAGGTGACAATAATAAACTGTCCTAACAGTGAACAGGGACTATAAAAATTGCCTACAAGCAAGGGAAGTGTCAGAAATCCTGTCATCTGCCTTGATTCTCAGGTGGAAAGAGAATCACCAAGGAAAAGTCAGATTTCCAAGCCCACTCACATCATGTGGGATTCTTGAGCAGGTCCACAGGGTCCAGGAGAGGCAAACACTAAATAGCTGTGTTAGTCAGGGTTCTCCAGGAAAACTGGACCAACAACATGTGTGTGTCTATGTGTGTGTGTGTGTGTGAGAGAGAGAGAGAGATTTACTACAACAAACTGGCTCGTGTGATTATAGAGGCTGAGAAGTCCCAAGATCTGCAGTCAATAAGCTGTAGACCCAGGAGAGCCAATGGTGTAAGTTCCAGCATGAAAGCTGACAGGTTCAAGAACCAAAAGGAGATAACATTTTAATTTGAGTCCAAAGGGAGGAAAAGACCATGTCCCAGCTCAAGACAGTCAGGCAGGAAGAGTTCTTACTTGTTAAGAGGGTCAACCTTTGTTCTATTCAGGACTTCAAATACCTGGTGATACCTACCCACATTAGACACACAGGATGAACTAGCCAACACCACAGGCTGAGCGCTGCCACTTGGCCCCTGGGATCCAATTGCTCCTGCTGCATTAGGTTTCCCAATTCAGTGACTACAGCTCCCACTGTAAGGCCTAACAGACGAAAGCAACCACAGAGCTCTTCCAGGATGCTGGGGCTCCCGTCACAAATGCATTTCTCACCATTGTGAAAGCCATGTCTTCTGGACCCTCCCGTGGTGGGCAAGTAGGTCTTTAACGACAAATCTACTCTAACATTTCATTCTTCCTAATAAGCCTTTGAATCCTTTTCTCTACATTAAAATGAGCCAAGTCTAGCATTTCTAATTCAATCACCGTAGGCCACCTTTTGGTCCATGGTTCAGCCAACCCAACGTACTATTAGAGCACTTTCTGACTCACTAAACTGCAACATTAAATGCAGAATCTTTGCTTAGTGAGTATATGTCAACAAATTCAGCCCGATACAACTTCACGTTTCTTCCACCATTATTCCACAGTCTTAATATACATGCCCACATTTGTTCCCCAGGTTTCTGTCTGTATAGGTTAGAAAACTCAAGTAGTTATTTTGGAGTGTAGTGTACCTTCTCAGGGGTCATGTCTTGAACCTTCACCTTTAGGAGCCTGCTGGAGTTACTGGTCTAAAAACAGAGCCGTGGTAAAGGTGGGTCCTGAGTAGACTCAGCATTATCTTACAAAGCAACTGCCTCAAGGAAGCCACTACAGTTTCCTTAGACAATGCAGGGTTAATGCCCTCAAACAGGGGTGGAGAGGCTACTCCCATTGGGGGTGGAGAGGCCACATCCACTGGCAAAGAGGACTCATCAGAATTTAGGGTTCGATATCCCCAGCTTCATCAGGATCTTCCCACACATCCCCATCCCAACTTTCGGCACCCCCTTCCTTCCCAATCAATGCCTTTAACAGTATTCACCCTATGAGACTGGGAGTTCAATTTGCATCATAATACAGCCAGTCACAGGATAAGATTCTGGGTTTTTTAGCCATTTCAGCCCTGCAACTAATACAACTTAAGGTTCTCCTTCAGGGCACACATACAAGCCTTCAGGGCATTTATGTGGTGTTTGAGCTGGAAAATAAAATGCTTGAGCTCATCCTTTTCTTTCCCCACTTTGTCCAGTGACAACCAGCCAATCTCACCGTATTTGTTAGTTTACCAAAAATGTTCAAAAATATCATATACACAGTACCCAGATCCTTGATTGCTTTAAGTGGTTGGTTAGGAGTATCCAATGGTGATATCTTGTATATCTCTATTGCCAGATCATGCCATGGCCTATCAGTGCTCTCCTTACTACTGGAAAGAGTTATCAGCATATTTTAGTCTTATCAGATTAGAGAGCCACTTCTAGAAACCCCAGAATCACATTCAGAAAACCCATCCTGGAAACTCTGCTCCTCTAGAACCACTCCCAGTACCAAAATCTGTACTAGTCAGGATTCTCCAGAAATAGGACCAATAAAGTGTGTGGAGAGACATAGAAACAGTATGAGAGAGAAACTGGCAATCCCAAGATCTGCAGTCCACACGCTGAAGAGCCAGGAGAGCCTTGGTATAGTTCCTGTCTGAAAGCCAGCAGCTTTGAGACCTGAGAACAGCTGGTATTTCACTTTGAGTCCAAAGGGAGGAGAAGACCCATGTCCCAGCTCATGGATATCAGGCAGGAGAAATTCCCTCTT
This sequence comes from Homo sapiens, assembly GCF_000001405.40. Classification (NCBI taxonomy): domain Eukaryota; kingdom Metazoa; phylum Chordata; class Mammalia; order Primates; family Hominidae; genus Homo; species Homo sapiens. The sequence goes on from NC_000006.12 coordinate 2,165,444, forward strand.
ACTCATGGGAGAGTCAGCCTTTTTGTTCCATTCAGCCTTTCAACTCATTGGATGGGGCCCACCCACATTAGGGAGGGCCATCTGTTATACTCAAGTTTACCAACACAAATGTTAGCCTCATCCAAAAACACCCTCACAGATACACCCAGAATGTCTGACCAAATGTCAGTTGGCACACAAAATAACCATCACATAGCATAGTATGTTTATCTCATAATCTGCATCCTGTGGAAGACAACTCATGTTAAAAGCTAAATAAAATAATGTCAGCTCATATAGCATATATTAGACAACAGAATATTCTCCACAGGACTTTAAAATATATAGAGTTGAGACATAAAGGAAGGAATCAAATTCATAATGCAACAAGAGAACACTTTGAAATAAAAATGGGCAGTTCTGAAAAAGAAACACAGACATTCCACGTAGGAAAATACATAGTTATTAAAATGAACTCAAGGATGGGTTGAACAGTAGACTTGACAAAGGTAAAAAAATAAAGATAAAAAAAAGAATCAAGGCAAATATTAGAAGAAATCATCTGAAGTTACTCAGAGATAAAAAGCCAGTAAATATGAAAGACAAGTATGGAAACAGACTAAATGGATGACAGACTGGGCGACCCAACAAGCAAAGCATTCAACAGGAAAAACAAAAAAGAAGCAAGAAAACAGAGAACGTGAGCATTCACGTTAACACTCGCAGAACACTAGCCAGAACTGAAGACGGTCCCCATGCAGAAAAAACATATGGAGTATCAGGCAGAACAAATTTGGGAAAATTCACTCCTATACTGAATATCTTCAGTTTATCTTACTGAAACTCCATAAAGTAACTGACACAAATTCTGAGGGAAAGAAAAGCCCAACTGTTCCCAAAGATTCCCAGTAAAAATAACAACATAATAAATGGCTGTCAGTTTCTGTGCTGTTACTCTTTGCCAGTCCCTATACTAAGAAAATATTACAATTATCTCTTGTAGTTTTAGGCTTCAAAACAGCATGTAAGAATATTTTCATTGTACAGATGAAGAAACAAGCTCAGAGTTCAAGTAAATTACACAAGGACATCTGAAATTCAAATTCGGATCTGACTCTGAACCCTAGAACCTTATTCATACTACTCCTCACAATCACCCACAAATAGCTGCTCTTAGATTCTTCATCTGGAATGGCAGAGTAAGAAGATTTATGTGAAGAAAGATTTTAAAATAATGTTCCCAGGTCACAGAGTTAATAAGTATCAAGTCAGGCGCTATCTTACTCCAAAAGCATGCTCCTTCTGCTGTGATAAATCACTCATCAGCAGGCCTCAGTTTCTTCACCTGCAAAAAATGTGGCCAATGCTAATTGTTCTCCCAGTTCCTCCAAGAGTCTGACACCTTGCCAGCCTGTCACACCTAGTGAGCAAAACCCCAACTCTGCCATCCCACTCCTTCCTCATCAGCCAAGATCTTGTTTACATTCTCTGTTCCTAATCCCAGGCAGCTGAAATAGGCCAAGGAAAATCCCAGGGAAGACCGTTGCCTCTACAAATAGATGATTCAATTGCAATTGCATAGTCAGAACTGCCCAGCAAACCTATGACACCTTCAAGGCCACTGTTTCTCCCAAGCAATTTTAAACTGTGACTGAATCATTACACTTTCCCATTTCAGTAAATTCACCAATGACTTCCTAGATACCTAATTCAGTGGACATTTTTTCAGACCTTGTCTTCCTTAAACTTTTCGTAGCATTTCACTTGGTTAACCAGGAAGATATGGGTGCTAATACTCACCCAGTCACTTAAGGCAAAATGGGAAAGTCATCCTAGATGTCTCCTCTATACCCACCAATTAGTCAATACATTCTATCTATTCTGTCTTCTTGATACTTACCACACCCATTTTCTTTGTTTTATCTATACTGCCTCATCTAGCTCCTCATCATCCCTAATCTCAACTAGTATACTAGTTTCCTTACTGGTCATCACACCTGCAGTTTCATTTCCCTCTCCAATTCATTGTCTACCAGAACATCATCTACCAGAATGATCTAAAAGCTAGCAGAATGATCTTTCAAAATTCAAATCTCATCAGAGTCAAAACCTCTTCAACTTTACAGGTCCCCCATAAACCTTAATTCTACCAGAAGACATACGATGCCCTTATGATTCCACCTAATCTCTTGCCATGCATCTTCCCCCACCCTCACACGTAATATGCCCTTTCCTGTCTTTACATGCAGCTTCTTCCTAAAATGCCTGCCCCCAGCTAGCCTGCCTGAAAAAAACCCAGCCCAAGCCAATCCTCCTCTGATAATTCCTCTGGCTGCTCTTACCTCCTTGCTCCCATCACAAGTTACACAGACTTCCATTTCGGCAACATCCCACTCCACTAAATCGTATATATATACTGGTATTAATTCCATGGGAACAACATTCCTCTTGTACCTTCAATGCCTAGTGAAACAACCGGATTCACACAGCAGGCAGTCAATAAGTACTGCTTAAATAAGCGAACAAATGGCTGGATGACTAAGGTGCCTTCATTGAAGCATTTATTATGTCCTACCAATTTTAAAAATTCCTTTAAAGTGAAAGTTAGCCAATACTGAGGCAGAAAGCAAGACAATACCATGGCTCTTCTTTGTGGGTGTCATTTCATGCCCCTACACTGAGGAGGTACAAACTTCTCTAAGGGTGCCCCTTCCATCTTTATTGTTTCTACATTTGCCTGCTCTTTCCCTTCCTTCCTCAGAAGGAAAGATGTGTTAGCAACAGTCATGCTCCAATTCTTTCCATTTCCCTCCTTAGCTCTCTGAGGGTCTGCAAACTGCAGGGAAGGGTGAGCGTGAAGCTTGTTCTTTACCAACAACAGCATCCAAAACCAAAACTACCTTGATACCGGACAGCTTCATGCGCACCACTTTAAGGCCTGAGATCCATGAGTAGAAGAAACAAGGAGCAAAGCAAAAGGTCACTTCCCTACAAACAAAATGTGGGCCTCAGAATGTGAGGCAAGAAAATCTTACATGATATGAATGTCAGATGGCAGCCTTTAGCCTACATCACCACAAATCAATATTAAATAACTAAGACAGTGTATTTATACATTGAGAGAGGATACACTGTAGAAAAGACCCTAACTATGCTTCCATTTCATAAACCACAAATTTAGATTTCTACTATGCTTTTTCTTTTCTTTGCTGTACTTTCTGAAGTTAAATGAATCAGTTAAATTCTTCAAATACCAGTCAGAACACATCAACTGCTTCTTTTAAAAGAAACTCTTAAAATGGGGCAAAGTAGATGCCAAATAAGGACTCTGTTTCTAAACATAAATTTAATACAAGTATTGTAAGCAAGGTCAAAATTATTAAAAGGAACTCCACTTCTGAATATTTAGAATAAAAAAGTCTGCTCTCAATTTTGATGTATTTCTAAGTCCTTACAGCCAACAAAGAACAAAAAACTCCACTGGTATTTAAAATTCTATCTGGATATATTACACTGACAAGATATGATTATATAACCAAGACCGTATCATGTAAATACTGAAAGTTTAAAGTCATAGGTAGAAAGAACACTTGAATAAAGATACTAGGATTCAGAGAGAATTTGTAGACTTTATTTTAGACTCCACAGTCATCTTTCCAGAGGGAAAAAAAACTAAAATTCTCCCACATTCTTAGTATCTAGGATAACCTTAAACATCAGAAGGTGTTAAATTCACCCAACATGAGTCAGGGACAAATTAAGAACTGGAAGGCACTTTGAAAAACCTAATAATGAAACAGAAGTTATTAATATCGTTATTACAAAAATACTTAAAAGTCCATTTGATATTAAAACCAGTTGAAAAATCTTCATAAGAAAGAGTTCCTTCAACAACACTACATATAACAGTATGGTGGCTCACGCCTGTAATCCCAGCACTTTGGGAGGCCAAGGTGGGAGGAACACCTGAGGCCAGGAGTTCGAGACCAGCTTGGCCAACATGGTAAGACCCTCGTCTCTACTCAGAACACAAAAATTAGCTGGGTGTGGTGGCAAGCACCTGTAATCCCAGCTACTCAGGAGGCTGGAGCTGGAGAATCGATTGAACCAAGGATGCAGAGGTTGCAGTGAGCTGAGATCACATCACTGCACTCCAGCCTGGGCAACAGAGCAAGAATAGTTTAAAGCCACCAGGCAGCAAAAAAAAAAAAAAACAAAAAAAAAGGCAATATAATTTTAAGTTTTCTGGGAAAACAGAGGCCATCAGAAGAATAACTTATTTTTCCCTTTGATTTCATAAAATATTTGCCAGGATCTGAGACTTTTAACTTACACAACTCCTACAGCAGAACACCATCCTCAAATACTGATTCAAAACACAGATCCAGAGAGAACTCAGTTACGTGTTCAGCTGGCAAGCCCTGACTATCAATTACTGCTTTAAGGGTGCTGGGCTGATTCAGAAGGTGCTATCTGGTGGTATATTAGAAAAGAGGACTGGCTGGGCGCGGTGGCTCACGCCTGTAATCCCAGCACTTTGGGAGGCCAAGGTGGGCCGATCACCTGAGGTCGGGAGTTCACGACCAGCCTGACCAACATAAAGAAACCCCATCTCTATTAAAAATACAAAATCAGCCAGGCGTGGTGGCAGATGCCTGTAATCCCAGCTACTCGGGAGCCTGAGGCAGGAGAATCGCTTGAACCCGGGAGGTGGAGGTTGTGGTGAGCCAAGATCGTGCCATTGCACTCCAGCCTGGGCAACAACAACGAAACTACATCTCAAAAAAAAAAAAAGAGAGAAAGAAAGAAAACAGGATTCGACTTTCTCCATGCAATTTTAAGAGAATGTTATTACTTACAGATTGGTTTAAATCCATTATCCTTGTTACCATATGTTCTAAACTAAATAGAAGCACAATTAGGCCAGGTGTACTAGCTCATACCTATAATCTAAACATTTTGGAAGGCCAAGACAGGAGGATATCTTGAGGCCAGGAGTTCGAGACCAGCCTGAGCAACACAGCAAGACCCTACCTCTACAGAAAAAAATAAAAATTAGATGGGCATAGTGGTGCACACCTATAGTCCTAGCTACTCAGGAGGCTGACGTGGGAGGATCACTTGAGCCCAGGAGTTCAAGGTTGCAGTGGGCTATGACTGCACCACTGCATTCCAGCCTGGGTGACAGAGTGTGACCCTGCCTTAAAAAAAAATAAAAAAAAAAAAGGCATAATTACATTACAGACTAACCCATTTGGTTACCTTTTTTAGAAGTTAAAACTCTAAAAACAGGCCAGGCGCGGTGGTTCACGCCTGTAATCCCAGCACTTTGGGAGGCCGAGGCGGGTGGATCACGAGGTCAGGAGATCGAGACCATCCTGACTAACACGGTGAAACCCCATCTCTACTAAAAATACAAAAAATTAGCCAGGTGCAGTGGCGGGCGCCTGTAGTCCCAGCTACTCGGGAGGCTGAGGCAGGAGAATGGCATGAACCCAGGAGGCAGAGCTTGTGGTGAGCCGAGATTGCACCACTGCACTCCAGCCTGGGCAAAAGAGTGAGACTCCGTCTCCAAAAGAAAAAAAAAATACTCTAAAAACAAGTATGTATCAGACTGAAAAAAATTACTACCTTTAAATATCTGTCAATCCAAATCATAGTACCAAAAATTGCAAATACACATTGGTAAATGAATTCAGGAACTCATGAACTTGAATTCAGGAGTCTGTGCTTCTTAATCTTAAGAGTAAAGCTTATGGCATTGTCACACAACTTTCAGTGGTCTGAGGAGCTTAATAAAATGGAGTGATGAGTCTGTACACATATTCAAAAGATTAAAAGAATAACAACAAAAAAGGAAGACAGGACAGAGACAGAATGTAAGTAATTTGTTTAACATTTTCTTGGCCCATTCGGTCTGCTATAACAAAATACCATAAACTAGGTGCCTAGTTCTCTTCTTTCTCACAGATTTGGAGCCTAGGAAGTCCAAGATCAACTACCCGAACAGACAAGCAAATGGCAAAAATAAATAAATAAATGGCAGATGTGTTGATGATTAGATGCAATTAACTGAGTGGAGAAAAATTAAAATCCAGAAAACAAACACAGAATAAAGTCTGTCTAATTTACCTATGTATCTCTAGGAAGCAGTCAGTAAATATATTAGGATTTAATAAAGAGAAAATAAAACTAACAAAATTGTGCTTGCTGCAGGTGGGTGGATAGCACAGGGAACAAAAAATGAGATCATCATCCTAAGGACTCAGAAATACATAGTGTGAAACTATTTACCACAGAAGCCAGAAGAAAGCATCAGGAAAGTCTTCAATATCCACATTAAAATGCACAAAGACTTCCATGAAAAAGGTGCAAAGAGCCACAATGAAAGAAAGAAGTTAAGGTAAAAAGATAATAGGATAATGTAAGGAGATGAACAAAATAAGGAAGGAAACTAAAATGTCAACAGAACTTAAATGCATACAGAGAGCAGTGAGGGGCTAAACTGACGCAATAAATGGCAGAGAAACAACTCACGTGGCCGGCTAATCTGAGAGGCTTTCCCAGACTGTAGAATTAAAAAAAGATACCTTCCAAACACTACGGAAGACATCAAAGACAGCATGTGTAACAAAAAGCAGACCTCCCAACCCCCACGAAAAGCAAGAATACATTTAAAACAAAAAATAAGAAGGCACAAGTAGAACTGAACTTATCTTTTATGATGATCATCATAAATGAATTGACCTCCCCAATATTAAAGACAAAGTCTCTCAGATTGAGGAGAAAAAATGAGATACTACCTCTCAAAACAACCAGATATGTTGTATCTCAAGAAGATAAAAATAAAAGGAGAGAGTGACAATATGAACACAAGACAAAATAGAATTCAAGGCAAAAGTATTAAGTGGAACAATAATTAAGACACAAAAAGCATGAATTTCTGTTTGAACTACCATTACACTGAAAGATTAAAAAGAATTGATATGGCCGGGCGCAGTGGCTCACGCCTGCAATCCCAGCACTTTGGGAGGCCGAGGCAGGTGGATCACGAGGTCAGGAGTTCAAAACCAGCCTTGCCAAGATAGTGAAACCCCATCTCTACTAAAAATACCAAAAAATTAGCCAGGCATGGTGGTGGGCACCTATAATCCCAGCTACTCGGGAGACTGAGGCAGAGAATTGCTTGAACCCGGGAGGCGGAGGTTGCAGTGAGCCGAGATCGCGCCACTGCACTCCAGCCTGGGCGACACAGTGAGGCTCCATCTCCAAAAAAAAAACAGAATTGATATGACAAAATGCAAAAAGTATTAGAATTGCATGGAAAACTGGTGCCCCAAAACCTACTCACATTAGAAGAGCACACACCTCAGTCTGACCTACTGTGTAGGAAAAACTTAACAAAGCATGGAGGACTGGAATTATACAATTGATAACATTAGTGGATATCAGGCTTTGTACTGACATTTTAAAAATATATCTTCCTTCTACAGCATTCATGAAACATTTGTAAAAACTAATATTAACATATTAGGCCACAAAGAAAATTTGAAAATTTCAAAAAGTTCCAAACAAACATAAACTGTACACAATGCCGTGTTCTCAGTTTCCAAAGAAATAAAATTACTAATTTTAAAATGACACAAATATTAGAAATTTTTAAATACTAGTCTAATTAATGGATTAAAAAAGAAATCTGCACTTCTAGGTTATTTTAAAAACAACATACTACTGCTTATCAACACTTAGGAAATATAATCAGATACAGTCTGAAGAAAATTGAGTCTTAAGCCTTTCATTATTAAAAATAGAAAAATCTTCCTGCCTACTTGCTGATACCTAGTTTATCCAAAAAGAGCAGGAGGGTAGAAATGTTTTCATCTACAGTAAGAAATTAAAGGAGTTAAAGTACAAATCCATAGTTTAAGACAACATACTTCAGAATGAACCAGTTTTAGGCCACCTGCACCCAGCCGATGATTTGATAACTTTAACTAATACCAGATGCTTCCATGTTTTTACAGGGCATGGAGGGAAGGAGGGCAGCAAGGCAGAGAAAGTCACGGATTTAGAAGGGTTCAAAAGTAGAGACTGGGGGCACAGAAGACAGTTTAATATGTATCCATTTTTCTTTGTATAATTAATTCTGAGTGGGCATAAATTGAAGTTATACAGAGAAGTAGTGAAAACAGGAAGTTCTATTCTACATCAATGATACAGGAAAAAATAATTCCCTGATTGCTTATAAAGGCTGTGGTTGCTTGTAGTTCTGATAATCAAGAGTCAAGGAAAATACCCAGGCTTCTGAATTACTGCAGTGGTAGCTTTTATAAGTGCAATAAGCCCATATTCAGAGATTATAAAATAGATGGTTTCCACACCCACTGAGTCTTACGCTAGCATTTCATAAGATTGGTTTTAGGAATATCTACCATTCCTCAAGCATCTGAGTAACATTTCTTCTCATCCTAAGGAACAGAAAGGGCAGGTTAGCATCGCCAATTTACTTAGAAGCAAACTGAGGTCCAGAATGGGTCCAAAGGCCATATAACTAGAAAGGTCCAAGTGAGGATTCCAACCCTCGATCCCAATACATTATAATTATTGAGTAAAACCATGAGACTGAGGACCAAGATATAGATGAATTACAGGCTACGAACAGTAACTAATCATGTGACCTTGGGCGGTCTCACTCATTCAATAAATATGTATTAAGCATCTTCTGTGTGCAAGGTTCTGTGCTTAGATGCTGGAGGCTCAGAGTTCCTGAATTTCAAAAAATATAATCAAATACACAATCTACTTCAAAAGGCTGAGGGGATGGATGATAAAATGCTTACAAAAGTACTTTTTAAAAAGGATAAGAGAATGTTTGAATACCATTCTTTCCTGCTAAGATATCTTCAGGTCTCGCATAGAAAAGTTTAGAACTCCATGCTTAAATTCACCCATTTCATCTTTTTTAATGGGTGAATTTCATCTTTTTTAAACTATGCTTGCAGAGTATCTAAATCAAGGATAAAGACCATGCTAAATTTTTTAAAACTTTATTTTTTCATCTTAAGTATTGTTGAGACAATCAAAGAATAGCCACAAACAGGAATAGAATTTAATGGTGCCTAGTTTTTTTTGTTTTGTTTTGTTTTGTTTTGTTTTTTAAATTGAGACGGAGTCTTGCTCTGTCACCTGGGCTGGAGTGTGGTGGTGCGATCTCGGCTCACTACAACCTCCACCTCCTGGGTTCAAGTGATTCTCCTGCCTCAGGATCCCGAGTAGCTAGGACTGCAGGCACGTGCCACCATGCCAGGCTAACTTTTTGTATTTTTAGTAGAGACGGGATTGCACCATGTTGGCCAGGCTGATCTCGAACTCCTGACCTCAAGTGATCTGCCCATCTTGGCCTCCCAAAGTGCTAGCATTATAGGCATGATCCACCATGCCTGGCCGAATGGTGCCTAGTTTCTAAAGGCTCAACCACAAATATGAAATATAGGAAACAGGATAAGACATGCACCTGGGAAGGCAGAAGCCTTCAGGACTTGGGGCCAGGTCTACAGCCACTGTGGGGCATCAGGGCTCTCTAGGCAGGCCACACAGACCACACCAGAGGAACTATCTCATCATCTGAAGGGGAAGGGGGGTGAGGGTAGCTATTTGAAACACAGTGCAAAGTAATAATTTTAAAGATCTCTTGAGAAGTCTTATGGTTGGATGATTTGGGGATCTATGAAATAATCACATTTTTGCTTCTTGAAAAAGGAGATGTTTTATTTATTAATGTAAGTTAACTTACAATATATTAACTCAAAAAGAGAACAGCACATGTTATGCAATATAACAACAGTAAATTGAAAAATTGAAGGTGGATAAAAATATTATTAACCTTTAAAAGTCTCAGCAATTTAAGCAGTCTAAAGAATAACAAAAATATGGTTCCTGTCACTGTTGAGCTCAAAGAGGAAATTCTTTTCCAAGAAGACATATGCCACCTCGGACTTGAGGTAGAAAAGTTACTATGTAAAAACTGTTAAGCAAAAGAGACATCAGACCCACTACTCTGCAGATATTCCTGAGGGAGTTGTGTCGACAGAAAAAAGAGAGCAGCATTACTATACCTCAGCTTGGGAAGAACCAAGAAGCAGAGGTTGTATCATTTCACTCAATGAATTGCCCCTCTCCAATTTAACTTTCCAGTCATGCTCACACTGTCATTACCCAAGCCTCACAGAACAGAGCTCCTGAGAAATGAGCATGCTTTGGTTTTAATACACGTACAAAGGCAGATACACTGCCCCTCTCATGTTACCATAAATAAAATATCCAATAACAATTTCTATTAACAATAAGAGTAATTATTATTTTTATAGCTAACATTTATATAGCCCTTAAAACATGTTGTAAGCACCTTATGCATGAACCCACGTAAGTTCATGAACCCACATAAACAGCCCTATCAGGCTTGTGGCACTATGATTAGCCCCATTTTATAAGGTAATACTATTTTCTCACCATTTTACACATGAGGAACCAGAGGCAATGGTAACGCTCCCAACAAACTGCCTGTGTACAAAACTGGATCACACAAAAGTGCCTCAGAGCACAGATGCTTTACTGTCAAGAGGCTGAAGACAGCAGATGTGACTACAGCTAAATGCACACTGACAACATGTAATTCTGGTGTCCAGCCCCCCTTCTACAACCAGGGATGACTGCCTCCCCACATCAGTTACTTTTGCTGATTGACAAATAGTACCAAAACAGGACAGATTCTGATTCACTATATTTATTAATTATATATTAGCAATTTTCTAAACAAATGGTTTAGAAAAACCCATTTTTCTTAAAAAAAATTTTTTTTTCTTAATATTTTATCTCACTGTGGAAAGAATTCCAAGCACTTAAGACAATGCAGCAATGGTTAAAAACAGACTTTGATGTCAGAAATTTGGTTCTTCCCAGCTGCATTACTTCAGCTAAGTTGTTTCACATGTTTGTGAAGTGAGCAGTGTTTCATGAAGTCGAGCAAAGATTAAAGCATGAAGTTCCTAACCCAGTGTCTGGTAAACCAACTTAACTTGGAGGAAATTCGGGGTTGGGTGGGAATAAACCAGGAAGGAAGCAGAGCAAAGCTCATAGAAACCACCTACTGGCTTAACTTAGGCAAGGTGTAGAGACAACCTGATCTGCTGGTTGGGGTAGGAGGGGAGGGCATGTGAAGAGTGCAAGGAAGCAAGAAAGGTGGGAAAGAATAGCCATATGGAGAGATCCTTCATCTCACACTCCCTCTCAGAAACTCTCCCCAGACAATCCTGGGGAGTAAAGTGGGAATTGGCCCAGAAGTAATTGCTTCCTTCCCTGCAGAAGACACCTTTCAGTGCTAGGGCAGTCCTGCACACAGGTTATAGTGCAGGGCCAAGGAGGGAGAAGGGTCAGGTAAAAGGCCTGGCACTGAGGGGACACCTCGAAAAGATGTGGCCATCAAGGCAAGCAGGTTAGGAAAGCAACCTAAGCAGGCAGCAGTGACAAAGGAAGAGAGCTCTTTTAGGAAAGGGATGGTCTCAGAAAATTTGTAGGCAGATGGGGAAGAGAGAAACAGGAAAGGGCAGGAAATAAATGGAGCTGGATCCAGTAAGAAAAGTCTTTGGTACCAAGAACGCAGTTGGAACGCCAGCCTTGGTAAGCAGGAGGCATGTTTTCCTGTTCAGAGACTAAGAAGAAGGGGACCATTAAACCACAGAGAGATTATGAAGGGATGAAGGTACTTCACCTAAGGGCAGACTTAATCTCAATGAAGTGGGAAAAAGATTTTGTTAAAGCAGATGGGTCTGCAGTACGTATAATCTGGAGAGATCAGGAAAGTAGACTGGGTTTGGGGTAGTAACTATGAAGACAAAAACAACTAGACAATCAGATGAATAAAAACATAGCTGGCCGTCATCCTGATATCAAAATTTGGCAGAAAAACAACGAAAAAATAAAACTTCAGGCCAATATCCCTGATAAACAGACATAAAATCCTCAACAAAATACTGGCAAACTGAATCTAGCAGCACATCAAAAAGTTTATTCACCACGATCAAGTAGGCTTTATTTCTGAAATGCCAGATTGGTTCAACATACACAAATCAATATATATGATTCACCACATAAAGAGAATTAAAAACAAAAACCACATGATCATCTCAATAGACACAGAAAAAGTTTTCGATAAAATCCAACATCCTTTCGTGATAAAAACCCTCAAAACACTAGGCATCAAAGGAACGTGCCTAAAAATAATAAGAACCATGTATGATCAGATGACAGCCCACATCATACTCAACAGGCAAAAGCTGGAAGCATTCCCCTTCAGAACTGGAACAAGACAGTCCCAAAAGAAAATAAATCATCCTACCAAAAAGACATGCATACTTGAATATTCACCGCAGCATTATTCACAATAGTAAAGACATAGAATCAACGCAGGTGCTCATCAACAGTGGACTAGATAAAGAAAACGTGGTATCTATACACCATGGAATACTATTCAGCCATAAAAAAGAACAAAATTGTGTCCTTTGCAGCAACATGGATGCAGCTGAAGGCCATTATCCTAAGCAAACTAAAGCAGAAACAGAAAACCAAATCCCACATATTTTCACATATAAGTGGGAGATAAACATTGGGTATTCATGGACCTAAAGATGGGAACAATAGACACTGGGGACTACTGGCGGGAGGGAAGAAGGAGAGCAACAGCTGGAAAACTACTTATTGTGTACTGTATTAGTCCATTCTTGCACTGCTATAAAGAAATACCTGAGGCTAGGTAACTTATAAAGAAAAGATGTTTAATTGGCTCACGGTTCCACAGGCTATACAGGAAGCATGATGCTGGCATCTGCTTGGCTTCTGGGGAGGCCTCAGGAAGCTTACAATCATGGTGGAAGGAGGTGAAGGGGAAGGAGGCATGTCTGACATGGCCAAAGCAGGAGGAAGAGGAGAAAGGGAAGAGGTGCCACATGCTTTAAACAACCAGATCTCGTGGGCACTGTTTGAAGAGAACACCACCGGTAGGTGGTGCCATTCATGAAAGCCATTCATGAAAGATCCACCCCCATGATCCAATCACCTCCCAGTAGGCTCTACCTCCAACACCAGGGGTTCCAATCCAACATAAGATTTAGGCAGGGACACAAATCCAAACCATATCAGGCACTATGCTCACTACCTGAGTGACAGATTCATTCACGCTCCACACCTAAGCATCACACAATGTACCTTTGTAACACACCTGTGTATGTACTCCATGAATCTAAAATAAAAGTTTAAATCAAGAAACATAGCTGGCATTAAGTCAGGATTTAAAAGAATTTTCATATTTAATTCCCCTTTTTCAATGTCTTTGAACATCCACAGGCCCTGACTTTCCAGACTAACAATGATATTCTGATGCCAAAACATCCTTGGAAATATTCTTTGTTAAAAAATGGTGTATACCACAAACAAGTATAGACAAATGGAGATGTCATTATCAGAACAGAATAATTTGAAATCTCTCAATATTCTTCCATTGAATAACTTTGTGCAAAAGACAATTTCATTCTTCATGTGGCATAAACAGCGAATAAGAATGCTGCCTGTCCTCAAGAATACTATTATGAAATCCACGGGATGAGAAATAAATGCAAACCACCATAGTACATGCACATGAGCATCGTAAACACAGTAAAACGTTATAGTACAAATATTACAGAACAATCCAACTTAAATCTAAGATAACTCCTTTAGAGAAACAAGAGGTTGTTGGCTCTCTAATAAAACATTTCAAAATATCTTAAAACTTGATTTCAAGAAGTAACAGTATCAAGGTCCACAGAGAAGACAAAAAGGTTATGCCAAAAAAAAAATATTTTAGGGTTCTCCATTTTGAAATTATAATTACTGCCTGCTATAGCCTGAATATTGCCCCAAATCATGTGTTAAAACTTAATGCCCACTGTGGTAGTATTAAGAGGAAACACCTTTGGGGAAGTAATTAAGACATGAGTGTTCTGTCCTCACAAATAAATTATGCCCTTATAAAAGAGGCTTCAGAGAGAGTCATTCTCATTCTTTTGTTCTCCCACGTGAGAACATCCTCCAGAGGATGCCATGACTAGGCACCATCTTGGAAGTAGAGAGCAGCCCTCACCAGACACCAATCCTGTAGTGCCTTGATCAGACTTCTCAGCCTCCAGAATTTGAGAAATAAATTTCTATTATTTATAAATTACTCTGTAGTATTTTGTTACAGTAGCACAAACAGATTAAGATACTGCCAAAGTATGTAAAATCAGTAAAATCATCATTTAGAAATAGAAATGAAACTTAAGGTGATAAACCCATCTATCTATCTACCCATCTATCAGACATTTAGAAGAAGCCCTGAAGTTTCTTATACCAATGTGAGTCCATAAGATCATACAAATATCCTGAAACACTCATCTATCTCAAAACACCCATCGTTTAGAAATAGAAATGAAACTTAAGGTGATACACCCATCTATCTGATCACATTTAAAGATGAGAAAGATGCATTGTAACACCACAATTTCCTACCAGTGCCCATTACAAAGAACAGGTTAACTGCAGGTGGACTGACCAAGCAGTTCCTCTGGATCTGTGGTCTAAATGAAACCAAATGGGTACTTCAAGACTGCTCAGGAATGCAGGAGGAAAACAAAGCCAGAGGACTAGCAACTGGCTGGCTACCACCATAGGCATAGACACCAGAGGTTGTGCAATGTCAAAGGCATATTTCAAAATATCAAAGTACCTCTCTCAGGGAAATAAAAGATGAAGGATGTCAAGATCTCAACTTACAGAGCACAAACCAAACATAAAGCACCTAGATCTTTTTGAAAAGACTAATGCTACAGAGAAAGGTATATACCAGAACTAATCTGCTTTCTCAGCTGTCCTGACCAGGGGCTAGGTCCAGTGTGGTAATTCCAAGTTTGACAATAAATTTTGATCTTTTCATCTTTTGAATGTACTAAGAAAAAAATGGTTAGCAAACATAAAAATTGGAAAATAAAGTTCAAGACTTAGAATATGAAAAATTGAATTTTTCCCTTTTTCCTCTCACTGACTTAAGAAGAATTGTGATAAAGCTATATAGTAGCCCACAATATCTATCTATACTTGACTACTTGAGTAACTTGTTCCTCTGTGGAATTAGTTGAGACATAAATTATATATAAATAAATAAATAAATACAGAGCAAGATGTCACCTTGGAACAAATAATAGCTAATGTGAACAAATCCTCCCATTAATTCCAAAGAATTTTACAAAGAATTTCCAAAATATTTGATAAACAAGATTTCTTTCTCCAATGTTTTTAAACTGTTAGAACCAGCCAGAGGTCCAAGAAGCCTACTTCATTAGGTATTTCCTCTCCAAGTCATTTGTAACAAAAGTACATAAGACAGATGGATGAAGGCCAGGTGCGGTGGATCAAGCCTGTAATCCCAGCACTTTGGGAGGCTGAGGCGGGCAGATCATGAGGTCAGGAGATCGAGACCATCCTGGCTAAAACAGTGAAGCCCAGTCTCTACTAAAAATACAAAAAATTAGCCAGACGTAGTGACTACACCTGGGTGCCTGTAGTCCCAGCTACTCAGGCTGGCTGAGGCAGGAGAATGGCATGAACCCGGGTGGTGGAGCTTGCAGTGAGCCGAGATCACACCACTGCACTCCATCCTGGGTGACAGAGCGAGACTCCATCTCAAAAAAAAAAAAAAAAAAAAAGACAGATCGATGAAATT